>NC_000001.11:56675047-56826562 GCF_000001405.40 Homo sapiens
CTTGGAATAAATTATAAACTTAAAAGTTAGGTAAATATTGAGATAAATAAGATAAGTAATTGAAAGATAAATAGATTATTTTAAAATTGACTAGACCCTAGAAAATTTAAATATTCATTGTGCAATAATGTGTTTCTTTCAGTCATTTAAAGTTGCAGTTTAATATTTGTTGGGAAAATGTAACGTGCTAGACACTGAAAATTGTCTTATTTATCTTTAAGCTTGGATACAGTTTTATAAAATAAGTATTGCTCTTACTTATTGAGTACCTGATAGTGGTCAGGAACTGTACCAAGCATTTTTTTTTTGTCAAGTTTCTGCTGAATGTGTGGAGCATTTTCCTTATTTAATTTAATATTATCTTCATGATCAGTGTCTAAAGTAGGCTTACTTTATAGACAAGGAAACTGCATTATCTAAAAAGTAATAGCAGCTTATCCAAGGCCACACAGCTAGTAAGTCACAGAGCTGGTAGTTGAGGTCAAGCCTGATTCCAAATGCCATGCTGTTAATGCTCCAGCATTCCAGTTTTTCTTAAAACTGAGAGTTATATAAATTCCTTTTAAAGAAAAAATAAATTTATGGATCCCTCATTTTGACTTAATTATTTTTAATATACCATTACTTAAGAAACAAAGCCCTATGTATAAACTTTATATGCATATAGTTCGAATACAACTATGAAACCAAAAGAAATTCACAATTTAAATACAAAAAAACAATGGAATCAATGGGATTCAAAGCAGTATCAATAGTATAATGTGACAAATAACAGTGTTTTATAACAACCAAAATCATTGTTAGAGAGTTTAATAGTGGAAACAGTAGGAGGAGATCAAATACTAAATTTATATTGTGAGTCAAATAAGATTGGTACAGAGAAAGCATGTTCATATAAATATACTATTAAAAAAGAAGTATTAATAACTGAGATGTTATTTGCTAGTTCATTAAAATCAGGCATTATATTTAGGCTGATCTTTGTCAGTGAGCAGTCTTTGAATGTCAGCATTAATGGGAACAACTTGATAACCCTGTGGAGTTATATTGTTTACTTGATGACAAGAGTAGCATATAAGTGTGGTAAGCAGAGTAATACCTGCCCCCCATGTCTATTTCCTAATTCCCAGAATTTGTGAATATGTTAGGTTGCATGGCAAAGGGTAACATTGCTAAGCAGCTGACCTTAAACTAGGGAGGTTATCCTGGATCATGTAGGTGGGCCAAATATTAACACAGTGGTTCTTAAAAGTAGAGGAGAAGAGTAGAAGAAAAGAGTCAGAGAAAAAGGTCTGAACATAGAAACAACATCAGAATGATAAAATGGGAGAAGGACTCAACTGGCCGTTTCTGCGTTTGAAGATGGAGGAAAGGGAGCATGAGTCAATGAATGCAGGCAGTCTCTACAAGCTGGGAAATGCAAAGAAATTCTGCCCCAGAGCCTTCAGAAGGCAACACAGCTCTGCTGGCACCTTGATTTTAGCCCACTGAGACATATGTCAAGCTTTTAAGATAAAGAACTGTAAGATAATACATTTGTGTTGTTTTAAGCCACTGAGTTTGAAGTATGGCAGCAATGGGAAACTAATACAGCATCATTCTTGAAATCCTTAAATAAATGGCTGGTCCAATTATTGTTGAGATTTGGAACATTCATTTAGTCTTTACTGCTGTACTTATTGTTAGTGAACTGTGGCTTATTGGTATTTTTAATGAAGGGACCCATGTGGTGCATCTTACCGGCAGCAAGAGTATGCCACTGACTGTTCAGAGCAGGCTTTTATGGGATTGGTGTGGATGACCGGTGATGACTCAGTTCTCACATCACTGCTAGGAAACCTTCATTCTTAGAGTAAGCTTCAATGTCATATGATCTTCACTTGAAGTTCACTTAGTCATAAACATAAACAAAATGAGGTCCCTGAAATTGCATGGCAGTACTTGATTATAAGGTTATCATCCAGGACCTATGTATTAGATGGTCCAGAGTATGTATATAGAGGTTTTTAAAGATTGTCATAAGAATTAAAATTCCACCCATGAGCTTGGTAACTCACCTTTCCTATCCATTGTTTCTTTAACTTTAAAATGGGACACCTCATTTGAGGATTAAATGTGTTGGCACTGGTATAATGCCTAGTGTTTGATAAGCATTGGCCCAGAGCAGGAATTAGCAACTTATAAACTAATTCCAGTCCTCTTTCATTATTCCAGATGGTTTTCACTTAACTGAAACAGTTAGTCTCTGACTTCAACTCTGTATTATTCATGACTTTGTTCTAGTTACTGGGTAACATCTAAGCTAAATCTCTTTGCTCTTCCCCACTGAGTGTCCACTTCCTATGAGAAGAGAAAGCTGAAATAGCCAGACTAAAAGTGTCATATGCTAGAATGAAAGTGGGGAAGGGAAAGATCTTTCCATATTTGCCTTATACCTTGACCTCATCACTTTTACAATGCCAACCCTGAAAGACTTTGAGGAAATTTTACCCGTTTGGGTATGAGTCCTACTATCTGTACAGTTCCCAGTTCCTAAAAACACAAATCAGATTTTATCAATAAGCAGTTGCAATTGTCATAATTGTCATGAGGATTCTAAGGCTTCTTTTCCTTTTTTTTTTTTTTTTTTAACAGAGCCTAGCTCTGTTGCCCAGGCTGGAGTGCAGTGGTGCAATCTTGGCTCACTGCAACCTTCGCTTCCCAGATTCAAATGATTCTCATGCCTCAGCCTTCCAAGTAGCTGAGACTACAGGCATGTGCCACCACACCCTGCTAATTTTGTATTTTTTGTAGAGACAGGCTTTCCGCCATTTTGCCAGGCTGGTCTCGACCTCCTAAGCTCAAAACCATCAGCCTGCCGCAGCCTCCCAAAGTGCTGAGATTACAGGCTTGAGCCACTGCGCCCAGGCCCGAAGACTTATTTTTGATGTCATATTTATCAGTGTTTTCTTGCCTCCATTTCTATATTTACTTTCAATCATTTTATTTTTGTTTGACTGTCTCATCCTGATTATTTAATTATTTGCTGTTTTCTGAAGGAATTATAGAAGATTGTCAGAGTTGGTCAGAAAGTAATTGGCAGAGGTGAATTTGCAGTTTAAAACTTTTGGCTTCCAGCCTTGAGATTAATTCATTCAGCCACATTGCCTCTTTAATTGTAGATCTGATCTTAAAACAAAAAACAAACAAACAAAAAAACACTCATGTATTTTTGCTACAGAAGAAGCTTATTGACATCGTCTGTAACAGTGTTAGTGATTTAAACAGAGAGAGCAACCTTACCCTTTCAGTGGTTTTCTTTTGTGTAGCCTTGGACTGTCAGGAATAGTTTCCTTATTGCAAAAGTGGGACTCTAGAATTAGCAAGAAAGTTTGAGCATTGAATGCCAAGAATGAAGGATATTTATTGCATGATTTCTTTATTAACCCAAATTGAAAAAAAAATTACAAATGAATGACCTAAAACCCACTGGTAGAAAATTAAAAGGCACAAATAGGATTTAAAGAAAAATCCAAACTTTCCTATGAAGTAGAATTTGTTGAATTGATTTTTGTCCTTTTTTTTCTTTCCTCCATAATTCTTAATGCAACTTGATTTTACTTGGTCAAAAGATGCTTGTTAGTCTGGTAGAGATGATCTTGTCTAATTTTTTTTTTTTTTTTTTTTGAGACAAAGTCTCGCTCTGTTGCCCAGGCTGGAGTGCAGTAGCATGATCTCAGCTCACTGCAACCTCCGCCTCCTGTGTTCAAGCGATTCTCCTGCCTCAGCCTCCTGAGTAGCTGGGACTACAGGCACACACCACCACACCCAGCTAATTTTTGTATTTTTAGTAGAGACGGGGTTTCACCATGTTGGCCAGGATGGCCTTGATCTCTTGACTTCGTGATCTGCCCACCTTGGCCTCCCAAAGTGCTGGGATTACGGGCGTGAGCCACCATGCCCAGCCTAATTCTTTTTAGTCTATCTTATTTAACCTATGGCCTGCTTTTTAACATCATTAACCGCCAGCACCACCTTGAAATGTTGTCTCTAGGTTTCCATGACACCTCAGGCTTCTGTTTTCTTTTTTTCATTCTTGTTTATTCTGAAAACTTTCCTTTATGGGCCCCGCTTTATCTTCCTGGCTGTTAAGTATTGATGCAGTCAAGTACACTGAGCTAGTGTAATTTTCTTAGTGAACCCTCTTTTGATGATTTCATCTACTACCATGGTGCCATTTGCCATCTCTATGCTGAAGATTTCCAAATCTTTATGATTTCTGGCCCTTTTGTTTCTCCAGATTTCTGAGCACATTTATCAAATTGTTTATCGGATGTTCACATTCTAAAGTCACAGAGTCACCTGAAGCTAAACTTTTCTCTCTCTTCCAAATTTACTTCTCTGTTTTTGGAGGGTGTGGTGGGAGAGTGGAGGGAGGTAAATGAAAATACCATTCATGCAGTTTCCCAAGCCCCAAACTTGGGCAAAATCTTTAATTTCTTCTTTTCCCTCATTTCTTACATACAATCAATCATTAAGGTCTGCACTTCTTTTTCCTAAGTGTCCTCTGAATTTATCCATTTTTCTTTGCTCTGTCAGGTTACCATCTTGCTTGTTGTACTTCAGCTGTTTCCTCTGCTTGGAATACTTTATCCACATCTCCCTTTCCCTAGGCTGCCAATTCCAACTTGTCTTTTAAGTGCAATTACATTTGACCCTTGAACGGTATGGGTTTGAACCACATTGGTCTACTTATGATTGGGTTTTATGCCACCTTTGCTATCCTGAGACAGCAAGACCAACCCCTCCTCTTCCTCTTCCTCCTCAGTCTACTCAATATGAAGATGACAAGGATAAAGACCTTGATGGTGATCCATTTCCACTTAATGAGTAGTTGGTATATTTTCTCTTCCTTATGATTTTCCTAATAACATTTTCTTGTCTCTAGCTTACTTTACTATAAGAATACAGTAAATAATACATTTAACATGCAAAATGTGTGTTAATTATTTCTGTTATCTGTAAGGCTTCTGCTCAACAGTGGGCTATTAGTAGTTAAGTTTAGGGGTAGTCAAAAGTTAAACGTGGATTTTTGATGCACAGGGGTTGACACCCTAACCCCCACATTGTCTGAGGATCAACTGTACCCCTGAAAACCTACTTTACTCACTAAGACTAGGTTAGGCTCTAACTCCTCTTTGCTCTCAAAGCACTCAATGTTCACCTTTTCCGAAGCCCTTAAATTGTGTTGTAATTGCACATTTTCTTATTGGTATTTCCCACAAGACTGAAGTACTTAGGAGCAGGAATTATGGTTTTTTTTTTAATTCAAAAAAATTTTTTTTATTATACTTTAAGTTCTAGGGCACATGTGCACAATGTGCAGGTTTGTTACATATGTATCCATGTGCCATGTTGGTGTGCTGCACCCATTAACTCGTCATTTACATTAGGTATATCTCCTAATGCTATCCCTCCCCTCTCCTGCCACCCCATGACAGGCCCTGGTGTGTGATGTTCCCCTTCCTGTGTCCAAGTGTTCTCATTGTTCAATTCCCACCTATGAGTGAGAACATGCGGTGTTTGGTTTTCTGTCCTTGTGATAGTTTGCTGAGAATGATGGTTTCCAGCTTCATCCATGTCCCTACAAAGGACATGAACTCATCCTTTTTTATGGCTGCATAGTATTCCATGGTGTATATGTGCCACATTTTCTTAATCCAGTCTATCACTGATGGACATTTGGGTTGGTTACAAGTCTTTGCTATTGTGAATAGTGCCACAATAAACATACGTGTGCATGTGTCTTTATAGCATCATGATTTATAATCATTTGGCTATATACCCAGTAATGGGATGGCGGGTCAAATGGTATTTCTAGTTCTAGATCCTTGAGGAATCACCACACTGTGTTCCACAATGGTTGAACTAGTTTACAGTCCCACCAACAGTGTAAAAGTGTTCCTATTTCTCCACATCCTCTCCAGCACCTGTCGTTTCCTGACTTTTTAATGATCGCCATTCTAACTGGTGTGAGATGGTGTCTCATTGTGGTTTTGATTTGCATTTATCAGATGGCCAGTGATGATGAGCATTTTTCATGTGTCTGTTGGCTGCGTAAATGTCTTCTTTTGAGAAATGTCTGTTCATATCCTTCGCCCACTTTTTGATGGGGTTGTTTGATTTTTTCTTGTACATTTGTTAAGTTCTTTGTAGATTCTGGATATTAGCCCTTTGTCAGATGGGTAGATTGCAAAAATTTTCTCCCATTCTGTAGGTTGCCTATTCACTCTGATGGTAGTTTCTTTTGCTGTGCAGAAGCTCTTTAGTTTAATTAGATCCCATTTGTCAATTTTGGCTTTTGTTGCCATTGCTTTTGGTGTTTTAGACATGAAGACCTTGCCCATGCCTATGTCCTGAATGGTATTGCCTAGGTTTTCTTCTAGGGTTTTTATGGTTTTAGGTCTAACATTTAAGTCTTTGATCCATCTTGAATTAATTTTTGTATAAGGTGTAAGGAAGGGGTCCAGTTTCAGCTTTCTACATATGGCTAGCCAATTTTCCCAGCACCATTTTTAAATAGGGAATCCTTTCCCCATTTCTTGTTTTTGTCAGGTTTGTCAAAGATCAGATGGTTGTAGATGTGTGGTATTATTTCTGAGGCCTCTGCTCTGTTCCATTGGTCTATATCTCTGTTTTGGTACCAGTACCATGCTGTTTTGGTTACTGTAGCCTTGTAGTATAGTTTGAAGTCAGTTAGCGTGATGCCTCCAGCTTTGTTCTTTTGGCTTAGGCTTGTCTTGGCAATGTGGGCTCTTTTTTGGTTCCATATGAACTTTAAAGTCGTTTTTTCCAATTCTGTGAAGAAAGTTATTGGTAGTTTGATGGGGATGGCATTGAATCTATAATTACCTTGGGCAGTATGGCCATTTTCACGATATTGATTCTTCCTATCCATGAGCATGGAATGTTCTTCCATTTGTTTGTGTCCTCTTTTATTTCATTGAGCAGTGGTTTGTAGTTCTCCTTGAAGAGGTCCTTCACATCCCTTGTAAGTTGGATTCCTAGGTATTTTATTCTCTTTGAAGCAATTGTGAATGGGATTTTTATTGAGCACCTACTATGGGTTGGGTGCTGTTCTAGGCATAGGGGATATAATCATGAAGGACAGAGTCTCTTTCTTGTGTTTTTTATGTTCTGGACAGTAAGTAAACAAATTAACAAGATCATTTTAGGTAAAGATAAGTGCTATGAGAATGAAACATGGTGCTGTCACAGAGTGTGACTAGGAAAGAAGAAGGGCTAATTTAGATTAGGTATGAGGAAGCCTCACTAAGAAGATAGGTTTGACCTAAGACCTAAAGGATGATGAAGATCTGACATGTGAAAATCTGGGGACAGAATGTTTTCAAAGCAAGGGGAAGAGCAACATCAAAGAGGTGAAGCAAACTTCAAGTGTTGTAGGCAAAGGAAGATTATGTACTCTCAGGAGTGGAGTGAGGAGAAGAGAAGTAGTTCAGGAATTCTAAGAGTAGATGGGGACCAGATAACAAAGGGATTTGAAGGCCTTGCTAAGAAATTTGATTGTGTTCTAAATAGGAACTTTTGGAGAGTTGGAGAAGTAACATGATATGAATATAGTGTAGAATGGGTATGGTGGCAGAAGTAGAAGCAGACAGACCAGTTGGGAAGCTATTGCTATAGTCTACCTGGGAGATTATGGTGGCTTTAACCAAAGTGATAATCTAGATTAGTGTTGGCTAATACAGTAGCCAGTGGCCACATGTGGCTGTGTAAATTTAAATTAATTAAAATGAAAAATTTGGTTGTCTGGTCACACTAGCCACATTTCAAGTACTTAATAGCTGCATATGTTTAGTGACCACTGTGTTGGACAGAGCAGATAAAAAACATTTCTATCGTTGTAGGAAGTTCTGTTCAACAGTCCTGGTCTAGATGGAGAGAAATGGATGGATTTGATATGTATTTTGGAGGGAGAACTAATGTATTACTGATGGGTTAGATAAGGAGGAGAAAGAAAGGAATTTTTTTTTTTTTTTTTTTTTTTTTTTTTTTGCTTAAGCAACTGGGATTTTGGGTTTTGGCTTGAGCAAGTAGGTAGTGATAGTGGTGTCATTTTCTGAGATGGAAAGAATGGAAAAGAAACATTAGAGAGATGTGAACATTAAGGATATTGTTTTGGCCATGATAAGCTAAGAATCCATTAGACATGTAAATGGAGATATCATCTATCATCTTTATCTCTCCTGCAACTAGCACAGTAGTAGGTATTCAATAATTACTTGTAGCTCCATAATGACATTTGAACAAGGTCCTGATGGCTCTAGGAGTCCAAGCAAGAACAAAAGAATGAAAGTGTGAGGAATATGGTGTATTGGGAACAAACAGTCTGGTTTGTTTGGTGCACAGAGTATGTATAGGGAAGTGGAAAAATAAAGCCAGAAAGGCAGGTTGTTGGTTGATCCATTCATTCAACAGATGACACCATTTAGGCACTAGGGATACAGCAACAGACAAAAAGGCAACAACAACAAAATCCTTGCTATTATAGAGATTATATTAGTGTGTGGTGGAGGGGTGGTGGGGAAATAGACAATAAATCCCTTATTATATGTCATATGTTAGACAGTGAAGAGGTGAGGGGATATGCCATGTAGATATCTGAAGTGGGTGAATGTTACACATAGAGGGAAGAGCAAATACAAAGGAAAGTAGAAATTCCTGCAGGTCAGAGATCAAGGGAGCAGAATGATCTAGGAAGATTAGAGTGAGAGATAAGGTCAGAGACATAAAGGGCATTATAGGCCATTGTCAGGGCTTTGGCTTTTACTCTTGTCTAAGATGGGAAGCCATTGGAAGGCTTTGATTAGTGGTATGATGTGATCTGACTTACATTTAGACTGTAGGTGAGCAAGAGTTGAAGCAGGGAAACCAATTGGGAGTCAATTGCAGTGATCTGTAAAAGATGATGTTGGCTTGAAATACAGCATAGTGTAGTAGTGTTTAGAAGTAAGCATGTTTTGTATGTACTTTCAAGATAGAGTCAACAGCATTTGCTAACAGATAAAATGTGAGTTGTGAGAGGAAAGAAGTTAAGGATGACGCCAAGGCATCTGGCCTCGGCGAAAAAACAAGGATGGAGTTGCCAGTAACTGAAGTGGAGAAGATTGTAGGAGGAACAGGTTTGAGGTGGGATGTTAGGGGGGTGGTTTCAACAATTTAATTTTGGTTTTATGAAGTTGAAATGCTTATTAGACATCCAAGTAGAGATGTAAGTAGGCTGTTGAATAAGTGAATCTGGAGTTCAGGGGAGAGGTGTAAGCTAGAGAGATAAATTTGGAAGCCATCAGCAGACAGACTGTATTTAAGATATTTAAAGCCCTAAGACTGGATGAAATCACCAAGATAAACAAGAAGTCCAAGGACTGGGCTCTAGAACACTATGATGCTAACATGTCTGAAAAATGAGGAGGAACCAGTAAAAGAGAATGAAAATGATCAGTGAGGTGGGAGGAAAATTAGGGGAATCGGGTATCTTGAAGCCAAGAGAAGAAAGTGTTTTAGGAAAGATCACCAACTGTCCCTTTTACTGGTGAATATTGAGTAAGATGATAACGGAGAATTGACTGTTGGATTTGGCAACGTGGAGGTTGCTGTTGTCTTTGAAAAGAACCAATTTATTGGAATGATGAGGGCAAAAACCTGATGTAAAGGGTTTAAGAGGGAATATGAGATAAAAAAGGGGAGATAGTAACTATAGGCAGGAGAGGAGAGACATAGGAGTGGTAACCAGAAGGAAATGAGGAGTCTAAACAAGGTTAGCTTTTTAAAATGGGAGATATTGTAGAATGTTGGTATGCCAAAAGGAGTGATTCAGTCAAGAGGAAGGAATTGATACAAAAGAAAGAGGGGCTAATTATAGAAGCCAAGTCCCTTCGTAGGTGTGGGAGATAATCCAGTGCATAACTGGAGGAGTTAGTCTTTGAAAGTATATGACCATGGAGTGGTTGGCTGTGTGTGGTGGAAGAAAAGATAATTAGAAATGAGGCATTCAAAGAACTTAAAGGCCATATGTTAAGATATTTTAAGCCTTAAGACTGGATGCGGTTACCAAAGATATGAGTACAGATAAACAAGAAGTCCAAGGACTGAGCTCTAGAGCACTATGATGTTAACATGTCTGTTTATATCACAGATTATCTATAAAGATATCACTTACACCTGAAACAGTGACAGTAGTAGCAATGGGGAAAAAGACATTAATTCAGAATGAGAAGGAGTTAGTAAAAGATTGATTGATGACTATAATGTGAAAAGGTATGAGGAGGTATTATCTGATGGCCTGCACTTCAAAGACAATGAGATTTTTGAGGGAGGAAGTTTTGGGTAAGAATTTCTTTTAGATCAGAATTCATTCATTACTAGACTATGCAAATTTGCCAGCATTTAAGATTTCATTAAATTAATGTGAATTAATGCATCTAGGCTCTGATCAACAGTGGCTTCCAATGTGTCAGAAAAAGAGACACATTATATGCCTTTGGCTAGAGGTACACTACACTACTTAGTCTTTCAAATGAAAACAAAAATTGCAAAAATGAAACAAATCTGATCAAGTATCTAGATTTAAGAGTGGGTTAGAAATTGTGCATTTTGCTGCTATAAAGGATGGAACAACAAAATTCATACTGTGGAATCCTCTTTAACAAACTAACTGGTTTCTTCCACAAAAGAATGCAAGAAAAAAACAACAGAGATAGAGGAGCAACCTATAAATTAGAAGAGACATAAGAGACAAATGAGCCAATTACAATATATTGATTGTGTTTGTATCAATAAATCTTCTGATTGGATATTTGATGACATTCATGGTTTTTTAAATTTATGCATGATAACAATATTTTGCATATTGTGCATACACACATATATTTTTAAGTTATCCTTTAGAGATATGTACAGATTTATTTACAAAGGAAGTGAAATCCAAATTCAATGTGAAATGATGACTGAAAACATATACTTTTACAAAGTTAATAACCAAGACATTAATTACCTTAGACTCTAGAATGTTATAGAAAGTTTGACTTATTCTATATGTCCATACATAAATAAGAAAAGTACTGTCAACTCAATAAGCATGGGCAAAAGACACAGCATTTTCTACGAAGAAATGTATATGGTGTTTTGCAACTGTTGGAGAATATATAAATCCACCAGTTTTCTAAAGATTTTAGCATTGCCAAACTTTCTTTGGAAAACTGTCTTTGGTATTATCTTTTCAATTGGAACATACACAATAACTATGACTCAGCAGTTGCACTCATCAGTGTATATCAAGGAGAAAATCTTGCCATGTAGAAGAATGTTCGTGTTAGTCCATTTTTACATTACTATAAAGGAATACTGAAGGCTGGGTAATTTATAAAGAAAAGAGGTTTAATTGGCCCACAGTTCTGCAGGCTGTACAGGAAACATGGTGCTGGCTTTTACTTCTAGTAAGGGTCTCAGGAAGCTTACAATCATGACAGAAGGCAACTGGCAGCCAGGGTGTCACATGGTGAGGGAGAGCAAGAGAGGAAGGAGGAAGAGCCAGTCTCCTTTAAACAACCAGCTCTCTTATGAACTGAGCAAGAATTCACTTATTACTGAGGCAATGGTGCTAAACCATTCATGAGGGATGGATCTACCCCCATGATCCAATCACCTCCCACCAGTCCCCATGTTCAACATTGGGAATCACATTTCAACATGAGATTTGGAGGGGATGAACATACAAACCATATTAATGTTCACAGCAGCAAATAATAGCAACATTATAGAAACAACCTAAATACTCTTTTTTTTTTTTTTTTTTGAGACAGAGTTTCACTCTTGTTGCCCAGGCTGGAGTGCAATGGCGTGATCTCAGCTTACCGCAACCTCCACCTCCCAGGTTCAAGCGATTCTCGTACCTCAGTCTCCCTAGTAGCTGGGATTACAGGCATGTGCCACCACGCCTGGCTAATTTTTTATTTTTAGTAGACATGGGGTTTCTCCATGTTGGTCAGGCTGGTCTCAGACTCTCGACCTCAGGTGATTCACCTGTCTCGGCCTCCCAAAGTGCTGGGATTACAGGTATGAGCCACCGCACCTGGCCAAAACTCTTTAGTGGTAGAGTAGATGAATAAATACAATAGGATATAACAATGGTCAAATCAAATAACTACAGCAAACACAACAATAGGATTGAATCTCAATAAAATAACTTCTAGAATATTACATAGAGCGTGATACCTGGTTTTTAAAGCAAAGAACAGTTTAACATATATATGAATTTGAATTATTCATATATATGAAATATACATATGTAGAGAGAGGGGATACACACACATGCATATGTACATATATAAACTGTATAAAAGAGGTGGGGAGGAAAGGATAAACAGGGTGTTCAGGATGACAGCTGCATTGGGTGAGAAGCAATGGGATGGGGAAGGCGGATCCCTATATTAATTAGTTGGAAGCTGTTGTCAAGGTCTTGGCCTTTTTGTCTGAGTGATGGGTTTGTAGGTATTACATTATTAAAAATAGTAATTAAATAAAAGGTCATTCATGGACTACTGAAGACAAGTGTCATCAACCAAGCATGATTGCTACATTTCTATGTAACTGAGTTCTAACTAAAGAAAAATCTTATGTGTATGTAGCTACATAAATAATATTCTAAAATCTCAATAGATTTTACCACCAAAAAGGTGTACTCATGAATGTTGATTTTTGGCTAACTTTGGAAAGATTTCTATTTTTTTTGATTTTCATATACTATTTTATGTGGCTATTTCCTAAAAATGCGTATAACTTGGTCAACTGGAAAATGCTTAGGATTTTTCTGGATTATTAATTTATTTTTACCAATTAGAAATGCTGTTTCTGAAAAATTTTTAAACTACATTAGTTTATTTCTCTGCTGTACTAGGAAAATAATACTGAGAAGTATGAGTGATTCATGATTGAATTTCTTGTAATGCTTCAATATACTTGTATTTTAGACAGCACAAGAGATTTGACTTACTCAGGCCAGGCTTAGAATGTAATCCTGGAATTTGCCTTTTCCACTAAATCCTTAATGTAAAACTGTCTTTTTAAGACGTCTTCCTTCTGAAATTTGTTTCCCTTTGTCCCTACCCCATTGTGGTTAGGGGTGGGGGACAAAGGGAAATTTTATTGGTTGAAGTTTTGCTGTAATTTTGCTATGATTTTTCAGTTTCAGATTACTCTGGTTTTGGCTCTAAGCACTCACGTTATTTAAAAGTGCTAATTTATACATTTACTTAAATACCTACTTTGTTATAGGCACTTTACTAAATACATATTCATTAATCAAATTATTGTAATAATAAAAACATATAATTACAAACTGAGATGCGTGGTCTGAAGCTCAGGAAAACGCATCTGTGAGTGCAAAAAGGCACCTCACCTGGACTTAGGAAGTGACTTTTAAGCTGAGATCTAAAGGATGATTAGGGCTCACTCAGGTCATAGTATAGGATTCAGGTCAGTGAAAACAGCTTATACAAAGGAGCTGTAGCAGGAGGAGGTACAGCATGACTAACACTGAAAAATGTAGTATGACTCAGTGTTGTGACTCAAAGGTGAGACCAAACAACAGAGATGGCAAGGGCCTGATTTATTCAGGACCTAAGAGCAATGGGAAACCTTTGAAGATTCTAAATTGAGAGGCTACTGGAGATCATATTTGTGTTTGAAGAGAATCTTTATTTAATGTCTGTCTTTCTGGCTAAACTGTAAGCTCCACGAGTAGAGGCACCAACTTTTGATCTCACCGAGTACAATACAAGTAGGTACTCAATAAATGTTGTGTCACCATTTAATAGCTTAGTGCCTGGCAGACAGTAAGTGCTTAGTAACGTTATGATTTTCATTGCTCTAGACTGGCCTTTAGTGTAAGACAGTGGCTGCTAAGGATTTAGAGGTTTCATGAAATAATTAATTCCAAGAATATCTGTTGAAGACCTGTGATATACTCAGAAATGGCAGCTAAATTTATTTATTAGAATGTCATCACTTCTTTTCTTTTGTGCCCCATCTAGGATGTACAGAGCACAAAAGTGATTGAAAATTGTTACTAAATCAGACCAACCTACAGTGAGGTGCTACAGCAGATGCACCTGCCCTACAGTATTCAGTTTACGTGATCACTTTGGTGCTTGTAAAGATAGCTTTTATAAAACTATTTCTTCTAGAGTTCTCAGTATAATTACCTTTCCAAAGTTCATTTGAAATAGTCTCAATTCTTCTTCAGTCATATTCGTTTATTTTATATAAATTAGAATACCTTGCCATGTTTCTTCCCAAAGACTAATGATTGCCATTCAAAATATTTCTTCTGGCCAGGCTTGGTGGCTCATGCCTGTAATCCCAGCATTTTGGGAGGCCAAGGCGGGCAGATCACTTGAGGTCAGGAGTTCGAGACCAGCCTGGCCAACATGGTGAAACCCCCCTCTCTACTAAAAATACAAAAATTAGCCGGGCATGGTGGTGCATGCCTGTAGTCCCAGCTACTCGGGAGGTTGAGGCAGGAGAATTTCTTGAACCCAGGAGGTGGGGTGCGCAGTGAGCCGAGAGCATGGCCGCTGCACTCCAGCCTGAGTGGCAGAGCAAGACTCTGTCTCAAACAAAAGAAAAAAAGTAACTAATTTTAACGTCTCCAAAACTTGGTTTGGTAAAATTGTGTATAGGGGTGTAAGTTGTAGTTTTTGGGAAAAAAATTTATTTTATCAAATAAAGCTAATTTTTTTTCTTAGTTTTTAATGTGCCCAGCTTTGGATGCCTAGAAACACAGACACACAGACACACACACACACACACACACACACACACACACACACACTCTTAATTTTTCATGATGGGAATTGTTTAACATTTACAAAAGTAACGCGGTGAAACCCCATGCATGTCTTATTCACCTTCAACAGTAGTCAATTCATTGTTTTATCTACGCCAGATTATTTTGAAGCAAATCTCAACATTATCTTTTTAATCTGTAAACTCTTCAGTATCTACTCTAGAAAATACTTTTTTAAACTCTAAATAACATAAGCATAGTATCATCACATCTTTTTTTTTTTTTTTTTGAAGCGGAGTCTCGCTCTGTTGCCCATGCTGGAGTGCAGTGGCACGATCTTGGCTCACCGCAAGCTCTGCCTCCCGGGTTCACGCCATTCTCCTGCCTCAGCCTCCCGAGTAGCTGGGACTACAGGTGCCCGCCACCATGCCCAGCTAATTTTTTGTATTTTTAGTAGAGACGGGGTTTCACCGTGTTTGGTTTAGCCAGGATGGTCTCAATCTCCTGACCTTGTGATCTGTCCGCCTCGGCCTCCCAAAGTGCTGGGATTACAGGCGTGAGCCACCACGCCCGGCCTATCACATCTTAATTAAAATAATTAACAACATTATCCACCACTAATCAGCATGTAGACTTTCCTGATTGTTTCATAAATGGTTTTTAAAGTTGGTTTATTTGAATCAGAATCAAAATAAGTCTATACAGCATAATTGGTCAATATGTCTCTTAAGTTACTTTTAACGTATAGTTTATCCTTTCCCTTTTTTTCTTGCATTTTATTTGTTGAGGAAATGGTCATTTTTCACTTCCTGGATTTTGCTGAATGTATCCCTGTAGTATCATGTTACGTGTCCAGGAAAATATATGTATGTTTTACAGAAATGAGGTCTTGCTATGTTGCCCAGGCTGGTAAAATACTGACTTTAGAAGATATATTCCACTTAATTGCCAACATGAAGCCTATGCTTTTCAAAATCGGTTCCATAAAATCATGTTGAAGATCAGTTATTTTCTTTTCTTAGCACTTTCATGTATGTTCTGTTTTAGTTTGTTTTGCTGTCAATTCCCCAAAACATTGCCCTGAGCTCAAGTGATTCTCCCACCTTGGCCTTCCAAAGTGCTGGGATTACAGGCATGAGCCATAGTGTCTGGCCCAAGTATATTTTCTGTTTATCTTTAAATATGTGATACCTCATCTCCTTTTACTGTAAACAAATTTTTGTTTATATGGAAAAATTAGTTGTTGAAGAGGGAAAGATTTCAAAAATTATGTAAACTTGAAAGGGAGGATCTAAAGGAACGGCCGTGAGCCTCAAGAAATAGAATAATTTTGTAATGGTCCGTGTTTATTGCTCTGTGATTATTTTGATAACATGTAATTTGTTGCCATCTTAAAGTATTATAAAACATTGAAATATAAAATTGTAGCAAGAGTAGATATACCAGTTTGATTTTGGTTAAAGTAACATACTTTGTTAACTTTTTTTAATTAACAAAAAAGATACCAGGTGATCAGCACTCCAACAGATTTTTTTATGGTAATGGAATATGTGTCTGGAGGTGAATTATTTGACTACATCTGTAAGCATGGACGGGTGAGTAACATACTATCTGGTACACTAAATCTCTAAACTAATAAAAAGGAAAGTATTGGGACATAGAACAATGCAAAGATATCTTCAAGGTTGAAGTTGCTTTTATGGTAGTGCTCAACTAAACATGTAGAGTGTTAGATAAATTTTCTTTCTTAAAAAGCATTCCTTTTGAAATACTGATTTTAGAAAATATGTTTCACTTAATTGCCAACATGATGCGTATGCTTTTTAAAATCTGTTCCATAAAATCATGTTGAAGATCAGTTATTTCCTTTTCTTAGCACTTTCACATATGTTCTGTTTTAGTTTGTTTTACTGTCAATTCCCCAAAACATTGTGCACATTTAATAATATTAATTGAAATTTAAATATTTCTGCTTAGCGACAAAGACAAACTTGTCTTTTGACATGTTGAGCTTTGACAAGCTTTTGGTTGGTTTATTTTGTCTGATTTGTTGAGAATTCCAACATAATTCTAGCTTGCTTAATTATATTTAGCCTAATTATGAAATTAAAACTCTTGTCAAATAGATGTCTCAGATTTTTTTTTTTTTTTTTTTTTTGAGACAGACTCTTGCTCTGTTGCCCAGGCTGGAGCGCAGTGGCATGATCTCAGCTCACTGCAACCTCTGCCTCCTGGTACAAGCAATTCTCGTGTCCCACTCTCCTGAGTAGCTGGAACTACAGGTGCATGTCACCATGCCCGGCTAATTTTTGTATTTTTAGTAGAGATGGAGTTTCACCTTATTGGTCAGGCTGGTCTCAAACTCCTGACCTCAGGTAATCCACCTGCCTTGGCTGGGATTACAGGCATGAGCCACTGTGCCCAGCCCCAGATATTCTTAATGCAGTTTCTTTTGTGCTTGATAGGTTGAAGAGATGGAAGCCAGGCGGCTCTTTCAGCAGATTCTGTCTGCTGTGGATTACTGTCATAGGCATATGGTTGTTCATCGAGACCTGAAACCAGAGAATGTCCTGTTGGATGCACACATGAATGCCAAGATAGCCGATTTCGGTATGTAACTCCAGGGTTGTTCAGAAAGGTACTAGCTACCTTTTAAAGCATAACAACTCATTGAACTAAGAACTTTACTTTTCAACCTTGTACGTTCTGTACCATGAAAAGGAATTAGCTGAAATCTCCTCAGTAGCTTTTTTTTTTCATTTAATTAAATTTTCATTAATTTTCATTAAATACACTTTAAAAATGCAGATACCTCTAGAGAAGTTAGAAGGTTGTCATCAAGATAAATCCATTCAATCTGCATTTTCTCCTAAGGAAATGATGCATAACTGTTTTTTTGTTTTTTTTTTTTTTGAAGAGAGGGGAGGAGTCCCAGACTTCTTTGAAAATCTCATGAAAGTATGGGCACTTTCCCTGATGAATGCATATAAACCAAGGTACCTGAAAATATGCATGCAGTTGGAAAAAAGCCCTTCTGAACTGATCCACAAAGAGGTCCTTAGGTGTAACGTCTAATAACTTGATTAGAGAACAGTTTTTGTCAGGGGTAAAAGGTACATAAAATGTGATTTTTATACTCCAAACACTTTCTGGGATAAACATACGTGGAAAGGATGCCTTAATAGGGTATTTGAGAAAAAGACTAGGAAGTGAGAGATTAAAGAGAAAGAGATAGAAAGGTACAGGCTATTGTTGCCTATTTGTGGTCTATACCTTGTCTTTAATCTAAAAACCTAGAAACTACTTTCTCTATTTCTCTTCCTTCTCTAAATCATGAAACTTATTTATTACTATAGCTCAGCTAGATTTTTGGTTCAATAGATTATTTTTTCCATGTTGAATTAAATATTTCTAAATTAAAAACTTTTGGAACATAATCTCTTTATGAGGTGGGGCCCATCTGGTTTCTAATTACAGAATTTAAAGAGGCTTTTGAAAGCACAGGGCAAAAAAGTAGTAGTCTCTATTTTATTCTTTCAACTATGGAAATAGGTAAATAATATTTTGATGTTTTCATGTTTGGGAAAGTTAATATGCTTCAGAATAACCTCATTTGTGATGGGAATCAACATTTTTATTTAGAAAGGAAATTTAGTTTCACTCATATATGTGATGTGCTTTAGCTTTTTGTTACAGTGTAAGCACTCTGAGACGGTCTCTTTCCAGTTAAATGCTTTCCACTGCTTTTTTTTAATAACTTAAAAAAAAATGATATATGGAGGATCCAGGACTTGAAATTTTGCTCATATTTATATGACTTTATCTACTTTTAAAAATATCTAGCACCAAGTAAACATTACTTTTATTTTTAGGATTATCTAATATGATGTCAGATGGTGAATTTCTGAGAACTAGTTGCGGATCTCCAAATTATGCAGCACCTGAAGTCATCTCAGGCAGGTAATAATCAGTGAAGCATAAGCTTTTTGTAATCTTGTGTTCATTTTGATAACATTTAATTACAATATATTCTCTATGGAAGGTAAGATTTTAACATGGTAGAAATGGATTATTCATTTATTTTTCCACTGTTAAAGGGATAATGGTTATATCAAAAAATGTTAAACATTTCATTTAGATGTCATTATAAATATACTTACGAAGTTTTCCCCATTAGAAAAATAACTGAAGTAGATCCTGATTTAACATATCTTTCATTTTACAAAAGTGCAGATAAGAGAGTAAGAATTTGCTAAATTTAAGCTAGTGTCATTTATTTATTAGATATAGTTCTTTAATAATACCTTGCATATTTTCCAAAGTATATAGAGCATTGTTTTATATTTTGTGTTTGGAAAAATGAGATTTTGGGGGAAAATATTGTTTCATGAAATTACACAAGTAGAGATTGTGTAGTTACTCATAACTTATTCATTGGTACATTATAAAAATGTTTATACAGATTGCAGTGGTAAACTCAAGTCTTTCTACAGTGATCAACGTGTGATTTTAAAAGTTAACAGAATCCTATAAGAGAAAATATGGTTAAAGTATTATTGCAAATAGCAGATAAAGAATTATCTTAGTCCATTTGGGCTGCTATAAGAAAGATACAATAAAGGTGATAGCTTATAAACAACAGAAATGTATTTCTCACAGTTCTGAAGTCTGGGAAGTCCAAGATCAAGATTTGGTATCTGGTGAGGGTCTGCTTCCTAATAGACTACTGTATGCTCACTGTAACTTCACATGGTGAAAGGGACAAGGGATCTCTCTGGGGTCGCTCTTATAAGGGCACTAATCCCATTCATGAGAACTCTGCACTAGTGACCTAATCACCCCCCTTAAGTCCCCACCTCCTAATACTATCTCCTTGGGGGTTAGGATTTCAACACATGAATTTTGAGAGGACATAAGCATTCAGTCCATTGCAAGGAGTTTGAACAATACAGCAAATGATGTAAACAATCACCATTTTTTATATAAACAGATTATATTCTTTTCATTAGAATAGTAAAGATTTACTTTGTTACCTCAGACCCAGGTTTGAGTATGGTAATATGCTATCATGGGAATTGTAATGCTGTAGAAACGTAAGAGAAAAAAGGAATAATACTATAAGCATAGGTTATCTGGATCAAAGATGATTTTAGTCATATGAGTTAGGAAGTGATGAGAATAGAAATAGTAAGTACTCAGGATAATGTGATACAGGATAAATACTGTCTACACAGTACTAATTAAGTACTTTAATGTTTTAAATATCTCTCTCTCTATATATATGATATATTATATATATATATATATATATTTTTTGTTTTGAGATAGAGTCTCGCTCTGTCACCTAGGCTAGAGTGCAGTGGCACAATCTCAGCTCACTGTACCACCTCCTGGGCTCAGATGATCCTCCCACCTCAGCCTTCTGAGTAGCTGGGACTAAGATGTGCACCACCATCCCTGGCTATTTTTTGTATTTTTAGTAGAAACAGCGTTTCACCATGTTGCCCAGGCTGGCCTCAAACTCGTAGCCTCAAGCAATCCGCCCGCCTCAGCCTCCCAAAGTACTAGGATTACAGGTGTGAGCTACCGTGACCAGCCTTAATATTCTTTAAAGGTGTGCCAGGGGTAGAAATTCTATTATATGTATACATTATATATATGTTTTCTTTCTTGTAATAGTTCTTTGGGAAAAAGATTTAACCTATACACCATAGTATTTTTTCAAGTTTGTGGTCATCTACTTTGTTTCCCTCAAAAATCAACCACAGAAAGTATTATATGTTTTAATTCGTATGTTTCAGTTAAATGAATTTGTGACAAATAAAAATACCCTATTCACTTGGCAGGCTTGAATAGTAGTTGGCTAGCCCCATTACTCTCTTTGGGGAACAAACACTGAATATTGGGGAGCAGCCATGGACTTCATTAAAGACCTTGGAAATGAATATGTACTGAATGTAGACTACCTATATATAGAAGTAGGGTACATAGAGAAAAAGTGATTCTTGCATTTCAGGTTTGTGTTGTCATCTTTTTTCTTAGATTGTATGCAGGTCCTGAAGTTGATATCTGGAGCTGTGGTGTTATCTTGTATGCTCTTCTTTGTGGCACCCTCCCATTTGATGATGAGCATGTACCTACGTTATTTAAGAAGATCCGAGGGGGTGTCTTTTATATCCCAGAATATCTCAATCGTTCTGTCGCCACTCTCCTGATGCATATGCTGCAGGTTGACCCACTGAAACGAGCAACTATCAAAGACATAAGGTGATTTTTCTTTTTGTTTCTGTTCTGCATATTTTCTCATAGGAATAATAATGTTAATTAAATGATTCTCCCAAAGTCTCATTTCCTGCCCTCACCACCTCACCCCAGTACTCATGCTTCAGCCACATTGAACTTGTCCTTGTTTCTCAAACCTAACATAGATTTTATGCCTTCATGTCTTTGTTTATATTATTCACTTTGCCTTGATGTCTTTTCTTGTTTCTTTTTTGACCTGATAGACTTCCATTCATCCATTAAAGTTCATGCCACCCCTTTTGTGATTTCCACACGTGCTTCCATTTCTGTTTTATCAACATTTTGTTCATGCTTTTATTATTTAATCCTCATCCTGTATCTAGTTATTTCTCAGTGTGTCTTTTTTCTCTCTTAAATTATGATATCAGGGTAGAGAGTGTGTCTTATTCATCTTTGACTACACAATGCTAAAAGGCCTGGAAAGATGGTATGCTTAGAAAGTGTCTGAAGAAATTTCAAATGGAGAAATAGGGTGAGATTTTGTATTTTACATATGGTTAAAGACATAAAGCATAAAAAGTTTTGCTAAGTTTTTGAATTCAATAGCTGCTAGTCAGCTTACTGTGAAGGCTTTTTTGTCACTTGAGAAAGTTTGGAAAGTGCCATTGCTGATGCGCCTATGAATATGACCTTTGTATATCCCACACCTGTGTATAGTAGCAAGATGATTCACTGCATCCTGCCTATGACTTATCAAGGCATGTTTCTTAGAGGTTTTTTCTTCTTACCTAAGATTTCATCCGTGTTTGTTTACAAACATGTTCTTTTGACATCTTTCCAGAACTCTTTCCCCTTTTCATCATTAGCCAGCAAAGAATTTTTTTTTTTTTTTAAGGCAGGGTCTCACTCTGTCGCCCAGGCTGGAGTGCAGTGGTGTGATCACAGCTCACTGTAGGTAGCCTCAACCTCCCAAGCTGAGGTGTTCCTCCCACCCCAGGCTCCTGAGTAGCTGGGACTATAGGCACAAGCCACCACACCCAGCTAATTTTTTTTAATTTTTTTATTTTTAGTAGAAATGGAGTTTTGCCATGTTGCCCAGGCTGGTCTTGAACTTCTGGGCTCAAGCAATCCACCCACCTTGCCCTCCCAAAGTGCTGGGATTACAAGTGTGAGTCGTTGCACCCAGTTCCAGAAAAGACTGTTTTGAGACCTCTGACCTTTGGAATATTTAAATGATGGCTGAGATAGCTGTTTATGTGACTGCTGCTGATTTCATACAGGCAAGGACTGATGATTCTTTTTGCATTTATGTATCATTTTCTTTTCCCAGCCTTTCTTCAGTGTTCCAAACCTCATGTATAACAATGTAAAAGTGTAAATTAGCCACCAGATTTAATTATAAAAATGAACTTAGCAGGAAAAAAACTCTTTGTGTTTATAGTTCTTTAGCATATATACTTCTGTTAATGACTTTTCCTTAGAAAATTAGACATGCTGATATATTTGCAGCTGCTCATATCAGCATATACATTTAGAATAGTAATAGGCTGGGGGCAGTGTCTCATGCCTGTAATCCCAACACTTTGCGAGGCTGAGATGGGAAGATTGCTTGAGCCCAGAAGGTCAAGACTAGCCTGGTCAACATAGTAAGCGCCCATCTATATTAAAATTTTTTTTTTATTAAAAAAAAAGTCAAATGGTAATGATTCATTGCTTTAAAACAGGTGTTTGTATATTTATATACTTCAGAAGAAAAATGTAAATATATTTACTGGGAAGAGTTAATTTGTACGTAGGTAGATGGCATGAAAGTATCATTCATCTCTATACTTTAATATGATAACTTGAATCTATAGTTTTCATCTTTTTAAATTTATGTCATATATATATTTACTTATCTATATTCAATTTTTTAATGTTTGGGAATTCTCATTTTTTTAATTCTTTTTTTTTTTTTTTTTTAAAGAGATGGGGTCTTGCTATGTTTACCAGGCTGGTCTTGAACTCCTGGCCTAAAGCAGTTTTCCCATCTTGGCCTCCCAAAGTGCTAGGATTACAGGCATAAGCCACCACGCCTGGCCAATGTTTGGGAATTCTTGATTTGATAAAATATAGTTCAATAGGGAAAAGAATTACTAATCATGGAAAAATTACAAAATACCAAGCATTCTGCTTTATGGCTTAACTTATGTTATTGCATTGACTTTTCATATATAGCTATAAACCATTTTACAAACCATGAAACTGAAGCTCAGAAAGGTTACATCATGATTTATGTATCTGTTTGCCCCTATTAAATTATAAATTACTTTAAATTAGGGACCAATTATTAATTCATAGCAAAATGCACAAGGTCTAACACATATTAAATGTTAAGTAAATCTGTGTTTGTTGAAAATTACACAACTAATAAGGAGCACAATGGGGCTCAACTTGGAACTTTACCTGAATTCAAAACCTGTGCCATTTATACTATTCCAAATTGTTACATCAGTTCTGTGATATCTATCCTTTCAATCTATCATATTTTATTTATCTCTTATGCTACTACATACTTACTGTCTCAATATTATTTTTGTACATCTATTATTTTCTTGTAAGATAGCCATTGGAAGTTCGGAAATATATCTTCATATTTATTTGCTTATTTAACCATTTTCGCTTTTATTCATTCAACAAATATTTATTTCACATCTGCTCTGTGCAAGGTCTTGTGCTAGGTGCTGGTAATATAGTGGTAAACAAGATAGATATTATCTTCATGGAAAACACATCTTTGTGTTCTCCAGGTATCTTAAGCTTAGTAATAGTATTAATGTTATCATAGTTAAAGTGAGCGGTCTGAAGTTCAACTGAGCACAAATCCCAGTGCATCTGTTTATTAGCTATGTGCAACTTAGTTACTTCCCACATATATTAGAATTTTGGGGAGCGTAGTCATAGATCAAACCTTGTGAAATTGCCATTTAAGTAGGTCTGAAAATGATTGAATATCAGAAACTGCAAATACTCAACTTAATATAATTAAAGCTTTTAGAACAATGTCTAGAACATAATATTAGCTATTATTATTTTTGAGGGAATATTTGAAAACCTTTTAGCTGCACTTAAAGAAATTTGGGCATATCATGAGGTTTCTAAAATTTGATAGTCTTTATAATCTAACCTTAAGTCATATATCAATTTCAGGTATCAGGTAGTAGTGATAGAAAAATATAATTTCTGATGCCTGTATAATAGCCCATGTGAAGTGAATTGCTTTTGTCTCAGATGAACCTTCATAAACATCCTAGTTACTGCTCACTTTGGTAGAGTTAGTTCAGAAACTGACTCCTGAAAATCAAAAGCTAGAAAGATGGCTTTTAAAATTGTCAGTTATTACAAACAATTATGGCCATTTGACTAAATTAATGAATTAGAAATCAAATTTAGATTGTTTCCTTATTGTTTTTTAAAATTAATTTTTAAAATATAATTCACATATCATAAATTTATCCCTTTAGATTGTATAATTCACTGGCTTTTAGTGTATTCACAAAGTTCCATAATCATTACGGCCATCTAATTCCAGAACTATTTTATCATCCGTGAAAGAAACTATACACACTAATAGTCACTCCCCATTTCCCCTTCCTCCTATCCCCTGGCAACCACTAATCTACTTTCTGTGTTTGTGCCTGTTGTGGACATTTCATATAAATGGAATCATACAGTATGTGGTCTTTTGTATCTGGCATCTATCATTTAGCATAATGTTTACAAAGTACTTTCCTACTGTAGCATGTATTAGTACTTCATTTTTTTTGCTTGAAAAATATTCCAGTGTATGAATATACTACATTTAGTTTATGCATTAGTTAACGAAGATTGAATTGTTTCTAATTTGTGGCTTTTATGACTACTGTTTCCATGAACATTTACATACACAGTTTGTATGGCTATGCTTTCATTTCTCTTCGGTGTATATACCTAGAGTTTATAATTGTCGTATGTTGTTGCTGCTACTTCTGTTTGTTTAGTGATTTTCCTGATCTGATTCTGTAAAATCTGTATTCTTTTTTATATATGGCTACTGAAATCTCTCTTTGGTTTGCTTAATGATCAGCTAGTGATTAGATAACAATTTCCTTAAATGCCCTGATCTAATAAGTCTCCCATCCTTTGCTAATGGGCTTTGTGTGATATTGGGGTATATCCTTAGTGCTCCAACAGGCAGTTGTAACTCTGCCTTAGCCTTCACTTCCTGCTTGTGCAGAGCCTCAAAATCTGCCAGTGGTGAGAAATTATGGCCCTTTCAATTTTTTCTCAGGCAAACACACAACTCTGCATTTGTTTCTGGCCTTTCTGAGTCCCAGAAATATATCAGAGCTTTCCAAAGACCCCTCTGGAAATTGTGTTTCCTAATTTTTCCTTTTAAGTGTTTTGGTCAGCTTTTCCTTTACCCAGCTTTCACTGCTGCTTCAGGCAGTTGCGATGTTAGACAGTTGCCATTGATTTTTGTTTTTTCTTTTTTAACAAATGCCCTGGGGAGAAGGCTGTTTGCAGGAGTAAGCTCTGAGTCAGGTCACATAAAAACCAGGCTTGTGAGTGGAGGTTTCCAGAGAACTGCTAGACATGTAAAATAATGACAGTTCTCTCATGGTAAGATTTTTGGGGAGCTCTAAACTATTCTGCTCCTCTATTCTCCCCACCTCAATGCCCCAGTGATTGTTAAGCTCCTGTTTTCTCAGCTCTGTGATTATGAGGCTGTTGGTTTTCAAGGCTGCCCAGGAGCTGGACAAAGGGAAGCGGACTTAGGGCAACTTAAAAAGCCACAAATCTCACCTTTCTTATTGAGATTCAGCCATTTTTCTTGAATAAACAGTCTTCAGATTGTTGCAAGCCTTTGGTTAATTTCCAGGGTTCTGAAAAAATTGATTTTCACAGTTTTTGGTTAATTTCCGGTGTTCTGAAAAAGTTGATTTTCACAGTTTTTGCTGGTATTTTATTGTTTTATGGAATAATAGATTTTTTGAGTTTATTTTGAAAGTGCTTAACTTTTCTATTTGTCATTGATATTTAAAAAATATTAGACATGTAACATAATTTTTTGCCTTCTTTTACTTCTTTTGTAGCTGGGTGTGGTGGTGTGCACCTGTAATCCCAGGTACTCGGGAGGCTGAGACAGGAGAATCACTTGAACCTGGGAGGCAGAGGTTGCAGTGAGCCAAGATTGCGCTACTGCACTCCAGCCTGGGTGACAGAGCGAGACTCCATCTCAAAAAAAAATATATATAGAAAAGATCTATCTCAAGTTATTTTTATTGCTGAACATTAATAGGTGCTTAATATTATTATATAGCCAATAAACACATGAATGAATTATTTTTTGTGTCCATACTTTGTCTATTTATCATATATGCAGCATTTATTGAGCATTTACTCTACTAGGTAGTAGGGTAGAGCTAAATAAGGTATGGTCACTATTTCAAGAAGTTGTCGCCGGGCGCGGTGGCTCACACCTGTAATCCCAGCACTTTGGGAGGCCGAGGCGGGTGGATCACGAGGTCAGCGACCATCCTGGCTAACACGGTGAAACCCCATCTCTACTAAAAAAATACAACAAAAAATTAGCTGGGCATGGTGGCAGGTGCTTGTAGTCCCAGCTACTCGGGAGGCTGAGGCCGGAGAATGGCGTGAACCCAGGAAGCAGAGCTTGCAGTGAGTGGAGATTGAGCTACTGCACTCCAGCCTGGGTGACTGAGCGAGACTCTGTCTCAAAAAAAAAAAGAAGTTGTCAGTTTACTGGGCAAGATTAAGAAAAAAATCAACAACTAAAAGAATGTATTGTGATAGAAAAGTCTAGTAGCTGTAGAAGTTTTATCTTTGTACATATCCTCAGGGCCTGGCACACCAGTATTTCTTACTTGGACTATTGCAACTAGCATCACCATCATCATTTTTATCTTTTCTTTTTTTTTTTTTTGAGATGGAGTTACACTCTTGTTGCCCAGGCTGGAGTGCAATGGCACGATCTCGGCTCACCGCAACCTCCGCCTCCCAGGTTCAAGTGATTCTCCTGCCTCAGCCTCCCTAGTAGCTGGGATTATAGGCATGTGCCACCACGCCCGGCTAATTTTGTATTTTTAGTAGAGACGGTGTTTCTCCATGTTGGTCAGGCCGGTCTCGAACTCCCGACCTCAGGTGATCCGCCTGCCTCGGCCTCCCAAAGTGCTGGGATTACAGGCGTGAGCCACGGCGCCCAGCATCATTTTTATCTTTTCAATTCATTTTCTATACCACAAACAAAATGATCTTTACAGAATGATAACTAGGTTATGCTACCCTGTCTCTTTAAAATCCTTCAATGATTTTCATCAACCACCAGTTCAAATCATGAGATTTCCTTTTTATGGCCTACAATTCTTAGAAATATCTGATTTCATTTGGTACTCCATCTCATAACTCATTCTTCTTTCATGATGTTGAGCTCATTCCAGTTCCTAGAGCACAGCATAACTCTTTCTTGTCTCATGGTCTTTGCACATATTGTTTCTTTTGCTGGGAATATCTGTTCTGCAACTCTTTGCATAGCTGACTTCAGATCATTCTAGTGTCAGCTTAAATATTACTCAGAGTGGCTTCCCTGATCACCTGCCTCTCATTCTAAATTATATACTCTCATTTTACTCTATGCAATTTCTCTTGCAATCTTTATCACAGGATTTGCATATTTGTATATTTGTAACTATATTTTATGTATATTTGTTTAATCTCTGTGCAGCTAAAATATAATCTTTGGGAGGAATGGTTCTTTTTGTCCATAGTATGTCCTCAGTAAATATTCAAAAATAAATTAATCAGTGAATAGAAGACATTCAGTCAGAATATATCTTCATCTGAACTTAGGGGATGCCCAGTTCTACCAGGTAATAATGCCTAAACAATCTCGAAGGAGTAGTTTGTGTTAGATGAAAATGGTTTGGTATTCTAGGATAACAATAGTAACATCAAGCACAAAGGCCCAGAAGTGTGAGAAAATAAGGCTTAGGAGAGCAGTTCTCAGACTTTTTGATTTTAAAATCTTGTAACTCTTAAAAATTATTGAGGACCTCAAGGGGGATTTTTTAAAATGTAGGCTATTATCTATCAATATTTACTACATTAGAATTAAAACTGAGAAATTAAGAAAATATGTAATTTACTTAAAAATAACTATGTTAAATAATACATCTTTCATGAAAAATAACCATATTTTCCAAAAAAAATTGTGAGAAGAATTACTTTATATCAAAGACAGCTAGGTTCTCATACCTTCTTCATTCAATCTGTTGCACTATTTTGTATTAGCTGAAGTGTGGTTTTCATACCTTCTTCATTCAGTCTGTTGCATTATTTTGTATTAGTTGAAGTGTGTAAAGAAGGTCTGACCTCACTCAGATAAGTGGTTGGAAAAGAAAAAAAGCATATTTATTATTATTAACACCAACTTTATCAGAAAGTCTTTAAGTATTGAGAAGCTGTTAAACTCACACAAATAATACAAAATTTGAAATTTTTGCTTGAAAGCTTGAATTTTATCATTGGCAACAAATATTGCTGGTTGTTTTCCTTAAAGCGATGGGCTTGCTTTTTTCATTTTTGAGAAAATGTTGTCCAAATGCCAAGTCTTAATAACCATAGTTATTCAAGGGTGGTGGGTAATTAACTTGCTCAGGATCACATAGCTAGTAAGTGGCAGAGCTAGGTCTAGAGACCAGATCTTTTGATTATATTCTATTATATTGCCCTATGTCTAAATTATTTGGACTTGCCAAACCATGTCTTACAATAATGTATTGTGGTGTTTTTCCTAGAGAGCATGAATGGTTTAAACAAGATTTGCCCAGTTACTTATTTCCTGAAGACCCTTCCTATGATGCTAACGTCATTGATGATGAGGCTGTGAAAGAAGTGTGTGAAAAATTTGAATGTACAGAATCAGAAGTAATGAACAGTTTATATAGTGGTGACCCTCAAGACCAGCTTGCAGTGGCTTATCATCTTATCATTGACAATCGGAGAATAATGAACCAAGCCAGTGAGTTCTACCTCGCCTCTAGTCCTCCATCTGGTTCTTTTATGGATGATAGTGCCATGCATATTCCCCCAGGCCTGAAACCTCATCCAGAAAGGATGCCACCTCTTATAGCAGACAGCCCCAAAGCAAGATGTCCATTGGATGCACTGAATACGACTAAGCCCAAATCTTTAGCTGTGAAAAAAGCCAAGTGGCATCTTGGAATCCGAAGTCAGAGCAAACCGTATGACATTATGGCTGAAGTTTACCGAGCTATGAAGCAGCTGGATTTTGAATGGAAGGTAGGAAATTATAATGTAATAAGATCATTTGTAGAAGCCATTTTTCTATATTATAAGCTGCTCTGAGCTCCTGAGTTGAGTATTAAGCCCAACTTTTTCTAGTAATATGCTATGCACATTAAAAACAAAACAAATAACCTCTATAAGGATGAAAAGTGGTTGATACTGGGAACCAACATATTTTGAATTATAGAAGTGTTCTTGGTCAAGAAAAAAGTAATCAACTAGAAATCATCTGAGAAAATAGCTTACCAGTTTCAGCATGCATCATAGCAATGAAAAATCATGAGTGTCTTCAAAGATAGTATGTTTTTACTTTCTCTTTTTTTTTTTAGGGAGGTTATTTTTCTTTTCTCTTTTTTTTAGGTGACAGAGGCAGGTGGCTGTAATAGCTAGTGGTTGATACAAATTATATCATCAGGACATATTTATTCAGTCAATAAACACTTTTCTCCAAGTTGTGATATTCTCTTTTATTTGGCTAGTGCTTTTAATACTTAGAGTACATTTTCCTTACTCTCAGCCCACAGTTTGCTTTTCTTAAAAATTAGTGCTCAATTTCATTTGAGTTCTATTTGAATATATGTGTGGGGAGGGGCATTTTTTCTTTTCAGATATGCCTTTCACTCTTGTTCTTTTCTTGAGGATTGTGAACTTTTAAAGGAAGAAGAAAAATGTGCAAACTTACCACATAAATATGCATTTGACGTGTTCAAATAAATCAGTCATTTTCATTTTATTATTTGTACATGAAATGAATATTTTCTTAAAATCATTTAAAAAACAGATCTCTCTGTTTTGGAGCAGTCTTATTTAGTTAAAAAAGAGACGTTAACATTTTTAAAATTCTGTACTGAAACATTTTGAAATTAGTACCACAGATGTTTTGAAAACCCAAAGCAGTGTTGTTTTTTTGTTTATTTTTTGTTGTTGTTGTTTGTTTTTTTGAGACAGGGTCTCACTCTGTTGCCCAGGCTGGAGTGCAGTGGCGCGATCTTGGCTCACTGCAACCCAGGGTCAGGCTATCCTCTCACCTCAGCCTCCCTAGTAGCTGGGACTACAGGCGCCTGCCACCACACTCGGCTGATTTTTTTTGTATGTTTTTGTAGAGATGGGGTTTCACCATGTTGCCCAGGCTGGTCTCAAGCTCCAGGGCTCAGGCGGTCCACCCACCTTGGCCTCCCAAAGTGTTGGAATTACAGGCGTGAGCCACTGTGCCTGGTCCTCTTTGTTCCTTCTACTCCATAATCATCCATGAACATGTTCAGGCAGAGACTGGACAACCAAATTAGAATTGATGTTTTAGAGTTGATGCTTATCTAGAGTGAAAGCTGGACCCTATGTAATCTCTGGGTTCTCTTTAAGTTTTTCCTTTATCTTTCACTTTTTTCTTCAGTACCCCAAATTTATTCAAGTAGCTTTTCCTTTAAATCTTAATTGCCATACAGTACTGCTTAGTGGGGATTAAATAAATACTAAAGTGAACTACCAGTAATATAAAAAAATTATTCGTATTCCTTTCCTACCTCACCCCTATTAATTATTTGTTTTGACTTTTTTTGCATAAAAAGGTAGATATTTTGTAGTTTATTATTTTTATTGATTTTTCACTTTAGGTAGTGAATGCATACCATCTTCGTGTAAGAAGAAAAAATCCAGTGACTGGCAATTACGTGAAAATGAGCTTACAACTTTACCTGGTTGATAACAGGAGCTATCTTTTGGACTTTAAAAGCATTGATGGTAAGGAAGCTATGCATGCATGAGCTCTGAGAAGATAAAACTTGGCACTAGTTGACCAGATGTTAAAATCATCTCGAAGACATCCGGTGGGTAGGTCCTGCACTGGTTTTTAAGCAATCTAGACTTAACCAAAATGTAAGTGAAGTGAAAAGGATGAAAGACATGTTGAATACCTCTTACCTGGCATCTTTCCACAAGAAGTATCTCCGTGGCGTAAAAGAATCATTTGAAGTGTTGGCCGTGGAGCACAAGTAAGGAACAACAGGGAAGCAGGTTTTACTTTTCAAAATTAACTGACTTGTCAGATTCTTTGTCATATTTCTCCATTCATATTTTATTAGTTAGTATTATAGTGTCTAAACTTTCTCCTTCATCACCTTTCCTCATCCTGGGTGGCCAGGGCGACCAAATAGGTCTCCATTGGGATTTGGGTTGGATTTAGGTACCCATGGCAATCAAGGAGCCAAAGGCGTCAGGGAAAATTGTCATGTCCAAGAACTTAGTGTGTGCCAAGAATTAAACTTGGGTAAACCAAATCTGATTATTCATTTCAGAGGCCCAAGTGGGATAAAACCAGAATAAACTAAGGGTCAGGTGCTGGATGGAACAAGAATGGAACGGAGTTTAGAGTTAGGGAAGTTGTTTTAAACGAAGCATTTAAATTTTACTCTTGAACTACCATCAACTATGTATGGTAGTGTTTATATGGATCCCAGACCTGTTTCATCGAAATTACATGTTGTTGTTATTAAAACGCAGATCCCTGGGAACCACTCCAGACCTATTAAATCAGAATTTCTGGAGATTGGTCCTGGGAATCGTAGAAAATGCAGTTTTAACAAGATTTCTCTCACTTTGCCCTCCACCTCCCCAAGGCAATATATGATGGTGACTTTTGTTTTTACCTTAGTGATTTTTTTTGTTGATATGCTAGAAGAAAATAAGTTGTCAAGGATATGCTTTCTTCACATGCAGAGATATCAGTTTGATTCCAATATCAATGCCGATTACTCCAATTTGAGCAGGACTTAGGGGCCACATTTTGACTGTGTGCAAGTCTTGTGATTGGTAGCGATGTTTGTTATGATTGTTGGAAGGAAGAAGACTGTGTTTCTACAACACAGAAACATGACATTCATTATTAAGTTGCCCTTGCTCAGATGTGTTTACTTAATATTCTGAATATCATAAATTCATAGGAAGGGCTTGGGCATATATACTTTCCATATAAATTGCTCTTCTTTGGTCCATTTCAGATGAAGTAGTGGAGCAGAGATCTGGTTCCTCAACACCTCAGCGTTCCTGTTCTGCTGCTGGCTTACACAGACCAAGATCAAGTTTTGATTCCACAACTGCAGAGAGCCATTCACTTTCTGGCTCTCTCACTGGCTCTTTGACCGGAAGCACATTGTCTTCAGTTTCACCTCGCCTGGGCAGTCACACCATGGATTTTTTTGAAATGTGTGCCAGTCTGATTACTACTTTAGCCCGTTGATCTGTCTCTAGTTTCTTTCTGTTATTGCACTATGAAAATCAGTTATATTCTTTAAATTTTTATCTTACTTTTGGATAATATCCACTGCAATACTAATTGAGAAACATGAATTATTTCCAGGGGCACACAATGCTATTGAAATTACTGAAAACAAAATATCTGACATCTTATTTACTTGTAGAAATCTGTAATTCTATTGTGCCTATGATAAATTCACATAGGCAATATCTTTAATAGGTTAATATCAATGAAGATTTTTAATTACAATAATGAGTTCACTACAGACGATTAACACACCACACTGGCGAACCATCTCAATGTAAGGGTGGTTTGGCAACACCTCCTTGCTTTGCTGTTTGGTGTAGGTAAATCTAGTTTACTTCCTAAATTTCAGTAGGCTTTATGCTGTGTTTATGCCCCCAATTTATTTTAACAAAAGAAGATTAAAAAGTAAAAGAACCACGAGTAAGATATTATTTAAATGTTGAAATCTTAAAAACCTGCCTCCAAGATTTCAGAAGCCAAGTTTTTCTAACAGTATTTGTACAAATACTGCCTAGTGTATTCAACAGAAGGACTGTGGTCATGTAACAGGTAACCACAATTTTCAGGTTTCTTAAAAACAGCTGTAACTAACTCAGGATTTTTATCTTGAGATTTCCCTGAATAATATATTTATCTTAAGAGCCTTCAAGTTTCAAATTAATATTGGAACATCTGGAATTGCAACAACTTTTGTCTTTTACATAAACTTACGTCATTTAAAAAATGTCTTCAAAATCTACCTTTCTCAAATTCTTTTTGCCTCTATTTATTTTTGCATTTCACCAACAGTGATAAAATAGTTAAATGAAACAAAGCAAAGTATCAACAGTCCCTTAAATGAGAATCCTTATCTTTGATCTTTATTTTCTGTGTTAGGTGTTAGGGTCCTGGTGCAGCTCATAATGCTAATTCTTCATTGGAAGCCACTCCCTTCACCTCACCTCACCTAGTCACTATTGTCTTTGTTCATTGTTTGATCCTGAGTGGTTGATTGATATAGCTTTGAATCTTTTCTAGTCCAAGTTTGAAAACACTGTTCTGGCCCTAAGGGCTGGCTATGACCTTTACTGTTGAACCTGATAGGGCAGGGAAGCTTTGAACATCAAGAAAAAATTTTTATCTTAAATAAATAAATATATATATTCACACACCAGTGCTTTTAAGCAAAAACCAGTTTTTTTGTTTGTTTGTTTTGCTTTGTGCAGGTTTTCTTTAAGATTAAAAAAACACAAACTATAGCAGGGTAGATAATAGTTTATTGATTATATTTTGTTTTAGTAAAAGTATTTAATTTTAAATTCTGTGTAATTTATCTAATTTGTATTTATTCATTTGTTATTTTTATGTTGTAATTAACACTTATTTACCTGGATTACCCTAAAAAAATTAAGCTCTTGAAAACAAAAAAATGACATTACCTTGACAGGCTTCTCTTTGCCAAAAGTAATGTATGTTCTGCCAAGAAGCAAATGAGAATGTTAGACTAAGTTTCTCCTGTGTTAGTGGAAAACAAGTGTGTCTATCTTTAAATATTCTTTGAATCAGGAGTTTGCGTTGTGTCACATCATATGGCTTTGCAGATCTTTTAAAAACTGATGTTAAATAACTTATAAGTCCAACTTCTTAATATCAAGATAAATGAATAGTTCACCAATTTGGGAAGGAGGGCGGGTTGCAATTTGAGATAGTTTAAGGTTTAATTATTGAAAGACTGCCATCTTGTGGCACCAAAAGGTAATTTTTACATGATTATTTGTATAGTGATAAGCAGTCCTGCTGTGTTAGCCTGGTCCATTATAGATATGGCATAGTTTTGGGTTCTCTAAATGGGTCCATACCTCTTTTGGGAAAAAACAGGGCCACCTCATAATATTTGCCTGATTATGAATGGAATTACCTTAGAAATAAGGAACTAATCAGATTACTTAACCCCAATGACAAAATCCACAAAAATTTTGAAGGCAGAGAAACAGAAGGAATCCAGTGATGTTTTAGCTCCATTAGTCTAATAGGTCAGATATTAAAAAATTGTTCATATCAAAATTACCTTATATGGATTATTGCCATGTTTTTTGAGAGTTAATTATTTACTGTTTTCTAATTCTTGCCAGTATTTATGAACAGCTGTAGCTTGATATTTACCTACTGAATTTTAGGAGAACTAATGGTCACAGTTTGGGTTCTTTTATGTGTATGTTTTTAAAACAGCTATTTTGTGAATCTAGGTGGTTGGTTTTTAGAAGATTTCAGGAGATGCAGTCCAGCACAATTAGAGCTGGAACATTGTTACAGCAGGCTTTTTGTTGCTCATGGGCAGATAGAGGGAAAGAATCAGTTGTTAGCCCCAAATTTCCACATTTCAGTGTTGTAAACTCTGAATGTGATAGGTAGATGTGGGCTAAGAATAATTTCCTCCAGTGAAGACACGGGAGAAGAGCTTCTATTATGAGGTTATAGATAAGGCCTTAGTTATATCATGGAAATGGACTCCATGTAGTTCTAGAACTGCATTTCCCAAAGTATATCCTGTGAGATGCTCCACAGAAAAAATGATTGCATGGACTAAGTTTGAAAAATGTTGCATGCTACTCTTCCCCTCGAAGATGACAGTGGATGTCAGCATTAAAGACTTTGACAGGTCTTTCTGTGAAAAAAAGAAAGCCACATAACTTTGTTGAACTTTGCCCAAATTAATTTTTCATTTTAAAAAACTTAATAGCCCATGAAAAGCAAATTTGGGAAATACATTTTTTAGGAAAATACTGTCCCAGAATGCCATAATTAGGGTAGTTAATAATTAACACTTCCATTTCTCTTACTGGTTGTTGGGAGAATCTGATTGAAAATTAGAATTACTTTGTTTTAACTTGCAGACATGTTCATCGTGAGTGAATGCTGGATTAAATAGAATTTTCTGTGTCTGCAACTTGTTTCATGACACCTTGGTTTTCTTAATCATCTTGTATTATTATTTGAGTGCAACATTATTCTTATGCATGGGTGACTGAAAAACCTGAAACAAGATTACTTGTTAAAAAAAAGTCTAAGAGACTAATGACTCATGCTTATGGCTCAGTGGGTAATGAATCAGTGTCACTGATTCTTACTTTTAAAATGTGTAGTCAGTGAACATTTTCTAAATACTTTTCTTTGGGATACCATATGAAGATCTAATTCCTTATGTTTCAGTGTAGGAACAGCTACCTTCTCAAATAGAATATGCAGGGAGGGAAGTAGGCAAACCATTTACAAGTTGGGTTTTTGTTTTGATTAACCTGTTAAGAGACACTTTTGTAATCTCTAGTGTTTACATTCCTTTATACTAGCTATCTATAAAGAGAATCCAGAAGGCTAAATTAATCAGAAATAATTATATTTCTATGTCAGGGTATTGGCTATATGTAGCATGAACAATTCTCCATTTTCTGCAAATGGGTTTTTCAGGACAGTTTTATAATTCTGAGTTTGCTTTTTCTTATTCCCTAGACAGTTTGTACTCAGGGAATACAAATTGATTTTTACTGTTAAATGAGACATAGTTTAGAAAAAATCATAAGCAACTATTGTAGATTTTTGATCTGTTTGGATTTATCTGTAGCATTGAATAATGTGCAGTGTACTGAGTTAATGTAGGCACCTCACTTTGGATTTATAAAATGTAAAAACCTGGAACATGCCTGCCACAGACACCACTTTGTCTATTCACCGGGTACTAATTTACATCCTATTAATGGTTGTAAAAGCTGAGTGTCTAAATGCTAGACATGTTCACAATTTTGTCTGTTTTTGTTTATTTGTTTTTAAGACCCAAACCTTTTCAATCTTGCATTTATTTACTTGGTTCTCCTGTGTCACCCTGTGGCTTTTTAAATAGGGAATGTAATTTATTTTAATAGTAGTTCTCAAAGACTCTATTAAAAACTCTGGACGAGGGATATGTGCAATCTGTTGGTAAGTCACATCCTATGTTTGGCCTCATTTTTATAACTCCTAAAATGAGAAAGGTAGATTTTAACACTTCTAAGGTACCTTTGAGCTTTAAAGTTCTTTTCTGCTTTTCCATATGATTTGTGTTAGTGTTCACTTTTTATATATTTAGAGTTTTTATATGAGTGTGAATGTTTCTGTTTTGATTTGGTGAGGCATGTCAGAGGTATATACTTGAATATTTTTCTAAATACAGCTGCTGGAGGAATGCAAATGGCAAAAATCATCCAGAAAACCAAACACGGTGAAACATCACATCCATTTGGCATGAAGCAAAGCATTACAAATTTGGAGTGATGAAAGTGTTCCATATATTTTTTATAGTGATTTTTCGATCTAGAGACCCTTCATATTGTTTACTTACTATTACGATAACTTTGAGAGGTAACCAGAGAAAGCATTTTTGCCATTTCCAGATGAGGAAGCAGGACCAGAAAGCTCTTCATAAAGCTTTAACACCATACAAGTATCCAGCAGTGATCAATTGCTCTTTATAGGAAACCACCTTTCCTCTGGGGAAGAACAGTCTGAATTAATAAAACATCAGAGTGGTTGAGTAGTAAAAATAAACACAGATGTATTGCTTTCAAGTCTTAGAGTGACATAAAGTAGTCTTAAATAAATAGTTCTTAGTTTATTTTAAGCAGTTGATTGTACTAACGAGATGTAATTATCTGAAGTATTTATGATTAGCATATTGGTTTTTATAAGTATTTCTGAGTTATTGAGGGTGCTTAAAAATGCTGAAGAAACTTTAAAACATGATTCTTCTTATAATTTTATGTGATTCTTATAGCACAATCATTTTTGAAAAAGGAAAACTAGGCTGGGTGTAGTGGCTCATGCCTATAATCCCAGCACTTTGGGAGGCCAAAGTGGGTGGATCACCCGAGTTCAGGAGTTCGAGACCAGTCTGGCCAACATGGTGAAACCTCGTCTCTACTAAAAATACCAAAATTATCCGGTGTGGTGACAGGCTGCTTGTAATCCCAGCTACTCGGGAGGCTGAGGCACGGGAATCTCTTGAACCTGGGAGGCAGAGATTGCAATAAGCCAAGATCATGCCACTGCATGCCAGCCTGGGTGACAGCACAAGACTGTCTCAAAAAAAAACAAAAAAAGGAAAAAGAAAACTAGCCCCAGTCCCTGTCTAAATTGTTATAGTTTTTGACTATTATCTGAATTAGTCTTATCCAAATTTCATATGCAGATTGATTTTTCATTTTGTATGTATATTACATGATATAACTATTTTCATAGAATATATTTCTAATTTACAAACACTGAATTATTAGCTTGATAGAGTTTCTCCCAAACCTTATAAAACTTTGAAATGTACTTATGTTTGAGCTTTAAAAATTATAAAAACTTCATTTAAACAAGTTGCTGGCATCATTACTAGCCTTTCCACCTATAATTATGATGCATTTGATGCCACTGAACAGTAATAGCACAAAGAACAGGTCACACAGTCTAGACTGGATTGAGTTTTAATTAAACTTCTTCATCCATAGCCTGATAAGAATCAGGCTGGGTCTAGAAGAGTTATCAGACTGTAGGCCTGTATTAATTTTGCAAGCTAATGTTAATGTTTACTGCCAGCCTTGCATAGCAATGCCAGTTTGCAGTTGTGACTATGATGTGACTTTTGGTAAAAATGGTTTATATCTAAAGTAGTTTAGATTTTATGGAAGTGGCTCTTGATTGTTTGGACAAGCAGGGTAGGTAAATTTCAATTACGTTTGAAGTGTAATTAAATCCTAGAATAGAGCACTCTCCAGAAAAAAAAATGAAAAAAGAATTTGGAGAATATCCTGGCATGAAAACTTTTTTGAATAATACGTAGAATTTTGACAAGGTTCATACAGTGCATACAGTGTGACCTTTTCTGAGGTGGGCAGGGAGGGTTGCTACGTTGTGTTGATTTAAAATTTCAAGGAGGAACAAAAACATTCTAGCCAAGGAGAATTGCATTGTTATTTTTTTTTCTACTAATTTAAACGTGCATTTTTCACAGTTACACATTTAAGTTTTGCTACCAAAAATGGCCATTTTTCTAGACAGATAACATTTTCCTAAAGTGGAAGAGAGATCCACTGTTCTAAAAAAAAAAAAAAAAAAAAACACTAAATTGTGCCTTCTCCCTTAAATTATAAGAAGAGTAATAGTAAAAACTTGTTTAAACTATATTTTCTTTTTTTCTAATCCCTCTCAGTTCTCCTTAGATCTGCCTCCTACAAATGATCATGTTGTTTGCATCTGCCTGATTGAGTTCCCTTGGTCAAACCTCTCCCTATCACTATCAGAAGTTGTTCACTAAATGTATTTTCCTATTTCTTTCATGTTGATTGACTTTATAAGTCACCTTGGTAAACATAACATTTGGCTACCTTCTCATGCTTTATAAATGAATTTGATGAATGGCAGTTTTTATATTTTAACCCTTTAAAAAGTTTGTCAAGGAAACAACTCAGAGCTAAGAACAAAATCTAACTTGGAATCAGTTTCTTCCTTTGGCTGCTGAAGCAGCAGCAAGTCACGTAACCTCATTTAGTTTTTTGATTTACAAAATGTGGATAATAACCTACCTCACAGATGTGTGTGAGCAACTGTTTGAAAGCCCTTGTTTAAATACAGGGTTTATATCCCCACATTCAATGTAAATTCCTTTTTTTAAAAAAAATAAGTATCTTTGATACTGATAGGATGAGTATCTTGATTTTTAGGTAAGATCACAGTTTCACAAATTGTGGTGTTGTTAGGTGACATTTAATATTTCTTGAGACCTCAAGTATTCAAATATCAAACTTGTCCTGTGTTGTAACAAATATTCAGAATCTCTTAAAATGTTGGCTGAAGCTGCCTTAATGTACCAAAATACAGCTCTCAAGACTGTTCACAAATATCTGTGGTTGTACAATGTTTTGAACATTTAATGTAAAGTTGTTGTAGAACTGTGAACTCTAAGGATAGTATCTTTATTGTTTTAGGAAGAATGGTTGTGTTCTTTGTCATGTATGCTTAAATATACAGTGGATTTTGAATGCAACAAATAAAACTGAAAACAGCCATTTGGTTGTGTCATGACAATCATAATATAGGATATAATATTTACTTTTTTTCAAAAACATCCTGCATTCATTCATTCTTAGCATACCTTTGAAAAAGAAAAAAAAATCCATAGGTTGATACATTGACCCATTGAAGTACTTCATTACGTATTTATTGAAAATTTTTTTTAATTGTTGAAATTGGGACCACTTTTTATAATTGGTTTCAAGAAAAAAAAATGAACAGACTTCCAGTGCTTTTCTGTTCAAATAAACTCCGATTCAAATTTCAGTTTTGTTTGTTATATACTTTTTGTGAGTGTTAAATGATATGGGAAGGATTTGTCTTTCATTAACCATATGGAAAAGATGTCTTCCTGAATTACATAGCATTTCATAGTTACAGATTCTTCCTAATTAATGTTTGCACCATATGAAACTCATAGGTAACAAACACAAAGGAGAAAAGCAGCCTGTCTGATTGCTTATAAGCTTTTTTCACAAAATCAAATTAAAAGTCTCTGATTCATTTGAAAGCTATTTTTGTTTCTGCTCCATCATTATGCTGGTATTCTGCACACCAACTAATAGTTACAGGAAAGTTGTTAGTGGAAAAGATTGCCTATACTCATTGGTGATTTCACACCATCTTTTTTCATTTTTGTCATCTTAGTTGTACATTATAGTTTTTAACTTGAGTTATTGCATTGGTTTTCTACTGTTGCTGTAACAAATTACTACAAACTTAACGACTTAAAATACAAATTATTTTATTGTTCTATATGTTAGAAACCCAGCAGGCTTAGCTGGTTTTTCTGCCTCAAGTCACACAAGCTGAAAACCAAAGCATTGATAGGGCTGGGCTGTGGAGGAGAATCTGTTTCCAGTTGCATTGAGTTGTTGGCAGAATTTCATTCCATGGTGCTGTAGGATTGAGGTCCCTGTTGCCTTTTTGGCTGTTGGCTAGGAATCATTTAAAGCTTCTAGAGGCCATCATCCCTTGGCCCTTGGCTCCCTTCATCTTCAAAACCAGCAACAAGTGGCTTATGGGTTGGATCTCTTCTTCCTTCTCTTCAACTACATGTTTCTGACTTGCTGAGACTGACTTTACTGCCTTCCTTTTCAAATTTTAAGGGCTTATGTGATTAAGTTGGGCCCACCTGGACTATGTGCTTTTTGAAAAGCATACTTTAGCCCTCATGAAAAAGAAAAATGCAAGCATATTAAAATCAGGATATACAGGTAAAGATTTCAATTTGCTTTTTCTAAACTTGAAGGAAAAGAATGGATTTGTTTTTATTAGTGAAAATATTTTTTATTTCCTAAATTGCATAGATAATAGATGCTTCCTGTAGGAAATTTGAAAAGTGAAGGAAATTTAAAGAATCAGAAAAATCTCACCCATAATAAGAGGCAGCCACTTCTTAGTTTTGTTATTGTATGTTCATATTTTTCCTCTTCCATTTCTTCCCCCTAGAATATACCTTTTAAAAGTTTTGAAGATTTGCAGGAGAGGGCCTGGTCAAGAAGGTTGCTATGACATCTTAGAAGAGTGAGTATATCACAGAGAAACTCAGAAGCGGGAAGGGAGGTCTTGGGACATCTTAAGGTTGCTGGAGGGCCTGGCCTATATGTCAGTGAGTTTATGAGTAGGCCAGTGTTAAGCCTCTGTTACAGTAAAGTGCTTTAGTATGCTGCCTTTTATCTGATGATGCCATTATCTTTACTATATTTTTATACAAAATTGAAAATAAAAGGTAAACTTAGTCTTTCCATTGAAGCTTTATGCTCAATTAGGGTTTCTAGGAGACAGATGACATCTGCTTAGAATATTACTGAAGTCTTAGTTATGGTGTTTACATTTTGAAACCTTGCAGATTAATAATGTGAAAAATATAGTTTTGATGCTTTGATTCCAAGAATGGAGGAAATGTGACTGATATTAGTGAAATAGAAACATAACTGCATTAAGTATGGATAGAAAGGATAGAAAAACAATCATTTTTTTCTAAAAACCTATACCATATCAATAAATAATAGTTAGGTACTAGTTTATATTAGACAAAATAGTTTATACTTTAGTATACCATATTTAATAGGCTTTTAACCCTGAACATTTTTCTGTCTATGCAAAAAAATTACTTAACAGCCATTCTTTCAAGTCTTACAATTTGAATTTTAAAAATGTATTTTTGTTTTCAGCATCTTCCAACTTCAGAAAAAGCCAGGTACAAAAATGACACCACTTATACAGTAGTGTGTATTCAGGATTTTAGACTACTTTTATATTATTACATTATAGCATAACAACTACCCTGTGAAGTAGACGAGATGAGAGTTATTAGCTCTGTTTTTTTTTTTTTTAATTATTATTTATCTTTTTTTTAGACGGAATCTCGCTCTGTCACCCAGTCTGGAGTGCAGTGGCGTGATTTCAACTCACTGCAACCTCCGTCTCCCAGGTTCAAGCGATTCTCCTGTCTCAGCCTCCTGAGTAGCTGGAATTACAGGCGTGCACCAGCACACCCAGATAATTTTTGTATTTTTAGTAGAGACAGGGTTTCATCATATCGGCCAGGGTGGTATCGAACTCCTGACCTCAAGTGATCCACCCACCTCAGCCTCCCAAAGTACTGGGATTACAGGCGTGAGCCACTGCGCCCAGCCTAGCCCTGTTTTAATAATAAGGAAATTGAGATGCAAAGAGCTGAGTCAAATTAGAACAAGGGGCCATGTAATGAGGCAGAAAGTGCAGGGGACAAACCTATCTGAATTCAAATTTAGTCCCACTGTCACTCCAAGATTTAAAAGGCTTAATGGCTTGGTGAAGTGGCAAGAGTGATGTATGGTATATGATTCTCTGTTGGACAGGATTACTGCATGAAAGATTTCTGCTCAACATAGTCATATACTCTTCTTGCCCACAGACCATACTTAGCCTTGTCTTCTACAGTGCCTACAATTATTGTCCTGGAGAGCAGGAGAGGGCTGCAATTGCCTCTCACTGGGTAGTAGATTTAGTTCAGGGGGTCCAAACAGAGGAGTTTGGTCTCTAGTCTAAGCAGAAATAAATTTCCAATCTTTGGTACCAGCCTTAATTTCATCTCCCAGAAAGGAAGTCTCAAAGCCATTCCCTAATTCTCCTCCTCTCTCATCGCTACATCTAATTAGTCACCAAGACATTCTGTTTTACCTCTGTAATACCTCTAATGGGGCTCCTATACCATATATTTCTGTTGCTGCTGTCTTAAGCTGTAATGCCCTTTTGCCTAGAATATTGCAAAAACGATTACTCTCTCCTCTATTATCCATATTGGTGATTGCTTCCCATCCCCCAAATATTTGGCATTTTCTTCCTGTCCCCCAAATAATAACTGGCATTTTCTTCCTGCTTAACCCTTAAATGACTCCTTACTCTCTAAAGGAAAAGGTACAAGTGAAGTCTGTCACATTGTAGCCCCACCTTACCCCATGCCAAACAAACAGCTCTTGCCATTCCCCACCAGACAGACATTCTACACTCCATTTACTTTGAATTTCTTCATAATCAATCAATCACCAGACAGAGCATGGATCTTCCATCAATCATCTCTGTGCCTTGTCTAATAAATAAACATAACATATTTAAAGACGAAGCTTCAGTGTTACCTTCTCTGTAAAATATTTTTTAATCCTTTAGCTGTTCCATTCATATCTTGTTTAATTACGTTATTTGTAATAATCTCTACAGATCTCCTTCTCTAAACTCTGAACTTTTTGAATATCTTTGATTCCTGTCTTTTAGAATAAGTTTGGCCTTTATTGACAAATGTCATTTGGAACATGAAAAGGAAGATAAAAGAACCTAGAAGCTTAAAAAAAAAATGGCCTCAATATAAAGAACAAGGCCATGGAAACAAATTCCATCACACTTGTGAAGGCCAGAATAACCCTGCTTAAAGAACTGAGTGAAATTCTTCAGTTTTTCAGCGCTGAAAAAGCCACTTTCAAAAATTTTAAACTGTTAAATGCATATGTAGAATTTATTTCTCTTATTGACATGCAGTGCACCTCATTTAAAAAACAGAATAGATGTCAGCTTTTAAATTTTTATTTAATTCCATATAAATGAAAGTACATATGAATGCTATTATTTGAATAGTTATTTGGGCATAGACAAAATAATGACAATTGTTCTTATTTTGGACAAAAAGATGTTTTAAAGTAATACAGCATATATATTATTTTGTTAAATACATTTGGGCACTTCTTAAAATGATGGGTGAATTTAGGAATAAATTATTTTTCTGCAAACTATTCCCAAAAGAAACAAATGTGGAACAGTATTCATATGAGTTTATTTTTGTGATAAAGTAAAAGGACATTTATACTTTTTTAAAGACTGAGCCATAATTAAGATTATACCTTAAACTTGAGTATTTAAAAGACCTTGGTTACACTGTTTACTGTTCAGAATTAAATTATACCAAGTTTGAGTGCACAACATCTAGAAATTACAAATGCTCATATACTAATATTAGAAGCAAACTAACCATCTGCACAACTGACTAGGTGCCATAAGGCATGATTTCTAACTTTGGATATGGCTCATTAAATAAGTGCTCAAATGCTAACACATACTGTTTCACATTCTCTTGAACTGACAGTGAAGTAGATACTGAAATAGACATTGAAAGATAACCTTTTAGGAGTAAAACCAACATCTAAATGTTGAGGATTTGTTTTTATTTTTCTCTTTTAAGTTCAGAACGAAAGTTTCCACAGATTCCACCATCTCAAAATTTTGACATGTAAACTGAAACTGATGTAACGCAGGACTAGGATCTTAGGACTAGTTCTCCTTTGTGCAGTCCATAGCATTTGATCTTGATTTTTCTAAGGTGACCAACTTTGATGCCTGTGAAAAAATAAAAATATGCAAACATTTTAAAATATAGGACAATGAAACAGTTGAGTGGGAGATTTCTAGGGAATTTCTGATCTAGTTTAATATGTTTGTGTTCTTTTAAAATGTTTATAAAGCTGTGTAGAGAAGTTTGATAGCATACTCAGGAGAGACAGTAATAAAGTCTCTTCCAACATAATCCTTATAGAATAGGGCACTGCATGTCTAATTTTTAAAACTTATCCTGAATTTCAATAAATTCAGTAGTCTTCTCTTGAGACTAATGTATACAACAATGTATTAGGAACTCATGATTTAAAGTATAAAATCAAACAGCTTACTTGAAATCTAGATGTTCAATGAGCACATATCCATCTAATAGAAACAAAAGTCACCGTTAATTTGAAAGTTATAGAGAAAATGTTTTTTTAAAGCATTTTAAGATTTTTTAAAAAGAATGAAATATTATGAAAGATAAGCAAATAAACTTACATTTGCCTTTAGAATTACGACATATCACTAGATTTTGTTCGGTGGTATCAATGACTTCCAATTCTTCTCCAGGACTTATTGGCAAATCAAATATTCCATTTCTTGAATTATTGGAACAGGCCACTGCTGTATTGATGACAATAATCTCTTTGTCGTACTGAAATGAGAAATTACTAATCAGACCATTCTTGCATAGTTGTTATTTTTCATAACAAAATTAATGGAGGATATAATATAGTAACTTCAAAATTAACTCAAGATACTATTGACTAGTTAAATAACACATACAGGAAGAGAAAATAGGAAAGTATGCAGTTAAAGGAAAGTCGTTTAAGAAAATAATAGTAAAATGGTGCAATCTCACATTTGTTTGGTATGATTATACTTTCAAAGTGTTTTCACAACCATTATTATTATTTTTTCTCTCAAATCTTTTTTAAAATTATTCTTTTTAGGTATGGGGTACATGTGCAGGATGTGCAGGTTTGTTGCATAGGTAAATGTGTGCCATAGTGGTTTACTGCACCTGTCAACCCATCACCTAGGTATTAAGCCCAGCATGCATTAGCCATCCTTTCTAATACTCTCCCTCCCCGCACCCTATCCCCAGACAGACCCCAGTGTTTGCACAACCGTTATTTAATTGTACTAGAATGAGCCCTGCTGGATGAGGTTGTAACATAGGTATGAATTAAGCACCATAGATGGTAGTTAACTGTTCCATTACTAAAACCTCTGTGTAGTGCCTTAAAGCTTATAATATTCTTACATACCTATCATTTCTAGATGACACTCTTTCCATGCTTTTTCTCTGTGTGAGCTTATGTATTCTTATATATAGCTATACTACATGTTATTTCAAAGTAGTAGGAATTGACTGTATCCAGTTGGGGGCAATTCCCAGTCTCCTTTTGTATTCACAGGCAGGCAGGCATTTTGTTAGAAACTCCTGAGAAATTCAATTCCTGACCTTGGGTATCTTTTCCTGACAAACTGACCTATACATCTGCAGCACATCACTTTCTAATGCACTGAAATCTGTTGACCACAAATAAATAGTTCCAGAATACGCAGCTTAGATTACAGGTACCTACTTCTCCAAATTAGTGTGACCAAATATCTCCTTTTGCCCAGGGTATTGTCTGTTTATAACTAATGTATCTATCTATAACTATTTATTATTATGATTAAGAGTGCCTCCTTCCACTCTTAGAAGTGTCCTGTGTTTGGATCATATATTACAAGATCAACCTATACCAAATGAGATCAGAAATACAAGACAGATTTTTCCTTTACTTAAAGTAATCGCTTCCTTACTGGCTTTTTTATCCTTTACAGGCCATTACTCACTGTGAATTCATAGTGATTTCTTAAAATACAAATCTAATTGGTCACCCTTCTATTTACAAAGTTCTAAAAACTCCTTATTGCTTTCAAGATGAGATCCACACTGCTTAGCTCGACATTTGGGGTCCATTGCATACTGTCATTCCCCATCCCTCTATCTTTGTCCCCTTTACTGAAGCTGCATCAAGCTACATGACAATCCTTGAATACATGCTGTTTACTTGAAATACTCTTATGTCTCTTAACCACTTCACATGAAGACTGTTATGACTGCCATATATAATTTACTGTCTTAACTATGCTTTATATCTATTCCTATTATAGAATTTAATAACATACTGTCTTATCAAATGAAAATAGTAGACAGTCTTATTCATCTTTGTACCCCCAGTGCCTGGCACAAGTGAGCTATACAACGTTTTATGATTTGAGCTGGACAAAAATTATTGAAATGGCCTATCAAGGAAACCCACTACAGGTAATAAGAATGGAATTATACACATATACAGGAAATGGAATATCTTTCACACATGAAACAATAAAAAACACACAGAGGTGGAAAAAAGGATTGGATGGAATATAAGGGTCTTTTCAACAAGTAATTGCCTCACTGTTGTTTTTCAATTAATCAAGTAACATCAGGGTTGCAGTAGATAATAACATATCACAATTTCTAGATATAGTAACCCCAATCAGCTTTGGTTCAAACAGGAATTATCAGTGATGATGAGAGATTTGTGTACATTCCTATTTTAGTTCATCTCAAAAAATATTTTATGCATGTTTACAAAATGCTAAGCAGCCTTATTATGCTCTGCACATGGATATAAACATAAATAAAATAACCATTGTCCTCTAGGAGCTCATAGTGTAATATGATGAACATGTAATTCCAATTACTTTAATGTGTGATAAGCTAGAGATTGCTCAAGTATATAGGTAAACAGAAGAAGAGTAATTTATTTAATTAGAAGATTTGGGCAAGTCTTCCTGGAGAAGAGGAGATGCCTCGACTGGGTCTTGATAAATGAACGAGCTAGTCAGATACAGAAAAGTGCAAAGGTGTACCAGAGAGTTGGAATAGACCAAGGAAGCACTTAGAGGGATGAAATAGCAAGACAAAGATAGAGGTGGAGGTTCATTCGAGGGACAGAACTATGAGCAGTTTGTTGCCAAAGCAGAAAGTGCAAGGCAAAGAGTGGCAAGAGATAAAGCCAGGAAGATATGCAAAGATCAGGACATAAAGAGCTTTCTATGCCATGTTAAGAAGCCTAAACTTTAACCATTTTGCAAGGGGGAATTTTTGAAAAATTTTAGGCAGCATAGTGACTATGAGGAGGATGCACACTTTGTCTCTCTCAGTCCAGTGTCTAGCACATGGAAGGTGCTCAGTATGTTTCATAGTTAATAATCCTCACTTTGACAATATATGAAATCAGGGAAGTTTGAGCTTTAGAATAATGAAAAAATGTCCCATGGACTCTTAATAACAGAATAAGAAGGCAGAGAGCTTCGGATGCTGCATCATTCATTTGTTCATTTTGTCATTCATTTGCTTGTTTATTTAGGCATTCATTTACCAAACACTGTGCTTACAGTTTTATGTCAGGCCCTGGGGAACAAACTTGAATGAGACAGGGTTTCTTTCTCAAAAAGGACTCAAGAGATTAATTAAAGATTCACAGACACACACACACACACACACGCACACACACACACAAATGCTTTAATACAACTAATCAGTGTTACAAAAGACGTGTAAAATAGACATATAAAATGTGCTGAAGGAGTAACTTAACCTGGACGAGTTAGGGAGGAGTGGGTGACATTTGAACAGAGCCTTCAAGAACAACTTAGGAGTTTTTCCAGGAAGAAGGAATAGCATGGACAGACATAACAATATAGAAATGTACCAGGAAAAAATAGGAATGAAATGCTGGCTTTTTGTGTCAAAGATCATGTCTGTATCTCAGAGAGGCAGAGGCACAGCATACTTACAGATTTTTTTTTTAAATGAAAGCTCCTAGCTGTTAATATTGCTAATTTTTACCTTCAGAAGAGAACGTACCTTAAACCTTTCTCTAAATAGTTTTTCTTCTCTTTTCATTCTGTTCTTTTCTAAGTTTTGCTTCTTGGTTTTGAAGAAATTTCTAGGAGAGAAACTAGCAAGAAATGTGCAGGTAGGGTAAAACGTACTATAATAAAACTTTTTAAGTTTCTGAGCCTACGAAGTCACTTCATTTCAGGATAAATTCAGGTATAATTTTTTGTGATCATAATTTTATATAAAATAATACACAAAGTCACGCATCTGTATTTGTGTATATGTACACACACGTATGTAGGTTCATAATACAAATACACACATATATTTCCATTAGAGCAAATTGTCAAACAACTGATCAGGGTAATGTCAATTGCTTTTCGCTACAATTAAAAAAATATTTTTGATGGCAAGATAATAACGGGATAAAATCACATTGGTTAAACAAATGAAGGTAAACAAGAAACTTGTCTGAATGAGACTTAGAGATATAACTTTTTCTTTTTTTTAGGTTTAGGAAATTTATAAATGTTCCCATTCACCTTCAGACTATTTAATGGAAACCAGTAAGAATAAGTAAGCAGCTTACTTTGTGTGGTTTTCTAAGTTGTTAAACCTAATTGGGGATCACAAGTCTACATGGTTCAATCGAAGAGCTCTCCAGTTTGCTGAATGTTTTGGAGGATGAATACCATTAAGAAAATAAAGAAAGATGCCACAAAACGTGTGAGAATTTCAGCACTTAAAAATAAATAACCCTACAGAAGAAGCTGATTATACTCTTAGTCCTCCCTCTTGCTCTTCACATGAGATTTGGTTCTTCTTTTTAGCAGTTCAATGTATTGACAGAAGTAAAAAAGTCAACCAAGTCCTGTTAGTCTTATTCCTAAGTGTCCCCTACATTTGTTTATTTCCAAGATTACAGCCACTGCCATATTTCAGATTATCACTACTTATTGCCTGAGATGCCATCTTCGTCTTACCTCACCTTCCTCAAATTCATTGGTGTATCTGCCTGCAGAGTCATTTTTCTAAAATTTAGTTATGTCACTCTCTTGCTTAAAACCTTTCAATTTCTCTCTATTGCCAATAGGATAAAGTCTAAATTCATTAGCATTTTATAATCTGGCCTGATCATCTTTCCAGCTTCATCAGCTGCCCATTTCCCTACACATTACAATGTCTACTTGGGTCATCTTAGAAAGTGGGTTATCCTTTTCATGCTGTTATACATGGGATACTGCTATGGTTTGGATATTTGATTCCTCCAAACCTCATGTTGACATTTGGTCCCTAATGTTGGAGGTGGGGCCTAATGGGAGATGTTTGGGTCATGGGGTTGTCTCCCTCATGAATGGCTTGCTACTGTCCTCTTGGTAATGAGTGAGTTACCACTCTCACAGTTTCCTAGAGCCTGGCATCTCATTTGTTAAAATGAGCCTGGCACCTCACTTGTCTGTCTCTCTTCCTTTATAGCCATGTGATGTCTGCACATTCTCCTTCACCTTCTGCCATGAGTAGAAGCAGCCTGAGGCCTTCACCGAAGCAGATGCCAATGTCATGCTTCTTGTACAGTCTACAGAACCATGAACTAAATAAACCTCTTTTCTTTATAAATTACCCAGCCTCAGGTGTTCCTTTATAGCAACACAAACAGACTAAGACAGATAACCTTAGCCAACTTTTCTTTAAACTTGCCATCATCTTTGATTGATAAAAGAATAATAAAAGGGTTGAACTAATACTTCTTACTTACTGTTAGAATACATTATGGTAGAAATCATTTTAAAAATGATACAGAAATTGATACAGAAATAACTAGCCTTACAGTAATGTTTTCTAATTTACTTGGTTCAGAATAAAATTATACTGTTATATCACTCTGTTGTAAAAAAATAAAAAGGCACTGGAAAATTGTTTCCTAAGAAGACTTATTTGTAGTTATCAACATACTAAAAAGCTTTTTGGGGGGCAGATCAAAAATGTTACTAATAGTTCATCTCTTGGAATTCTGTTTTGTTATGCTGTGCAAATGTATGTAAAAGTATGAAGTTTAAGATAGAAAGCTGCTTTTCTAGTCTGTTAATACATCTTTCCAGCCTGAGAAAAATAAATTACATCAAGTCTAAACTTAAAGAAAATAAACTTACGAGAAGGGCCATCCAATGCCATCCTCTGAATCTCAGACACTAATGTCTGGTTTCCTTTGGTGCACCCCAGTAGGACTTTTCTAACAGGTTTCCCAGAGCAGACAGACTACACAATGTTCACATGTCAGTGACTATTTAAGCAAATATTTCCCCAAGTCATTTGTAGAGAAAGTACCTCATATCCTGCCCCATGTCCTAGCAATTGAGAAGATGGGATCAGAGAGCAGTAAGTAACCACCTGCCTCAGTAAAAACATCCTCTCACAACCACTTGGGAAATTTAATTACATGAATGCAGGTTAGATCTTGACTCAGTAAAACATTTTCTTGTAAAATTCTAACACTAATTGTAGTCATAACTAGAATTATATTTTAGGGAAATTAGTCTTACTATATGATACCTAACTTTTTTTTTCTCAAAGTTACATTTAAGTTCTAATTAGTGTTTTATTTACATTATATCTTAGAGAGGGAAGTTCTTACACCTAAAAGAAAACTGGAAATTTGTCATTGTTTGAAAATGGCTTACTTGAAATCTCTCACTTCCTATCCACCAAAAGTAGGGAGGAAGATGATGAAGATACATGGGTATGACACTTAATATTTTTATATTCTTTGTCCCTTTTAATCCTCTCAACTGTACCATGATGTAGGTGTTGTTATTCTCATCTTGTAGATGAAACAGCTGAGAATCAAATTTCATTACTTATCTGAGGCCACACAGCTAGTAAGAGGTATAAATTGCAGCAGATAAGCTATAATAGAAGTGCCTCTGTGTTCCCACCTTTCTGATTCTTCAGCACCGTTTTTCTCTTTTTTTTCCTTTGGTGTCAGAAACTTGGGCTTCCACATTTTCAGTTTATCTTCATCTCTGAGGAGAAATATATTTTGAGCAAGTAAATTAAGACTGAATTATATATTCATGGAACCATCAACACTTCATGGGCAATTATGTTTTACAAAAAATTAAAAAGTCATCTAGAAATATATTTTGATAATCCATGGAAAGGCCATATAATAAATATTTTAGGCTTTGCAGGCCATATTATCTCTATGGCAGCTCTTCAACTCTACTGTTGCAACTTTATACACAGAAACAAGTGGCAGGCCATATTTGGTCCTCAGGCCATAGTTTGCTGACCCCTGATGTGTGGTAATCCAAATTTGAATCCAGATGCAAGAGATCAGCCTGCTTATAATCACATTTCATCTCCTTTATGAGCCTCAGTTTTGTTTTGTTTTTTTTTTTGCCTCTAAAATATGAACAATGTAACTGAACTCCATTGTGAAACAAGGCTAAGCCAACTAGCATGTAACATTAGTGATTCCAGGCAAAAGAGAATGCAGGGAAGGGAGAAGGTATTTATTATAGAAAGAACTAGTACTTTTTAGCATGTATGTGTCAGGTCTTATGCTAAGCATCTTACATATGTTAACTCATTTGGTTTTCAAAGTAAGTATTGCAACAATCCTTTAAACTGATCACTCAAAGTTTTACAGTACAAGGGAGGAAATGGATGAGCAGAGAGAATGAAATGGATAATCATAGTGGTATGACCACTTTGGAAAACAAGTTGGCATTTTCTTATGAATTTGCATTCCCTATAATTTGCATTTTTTCCCCTTCTAAGTATATCTTCTAGAAAAATTCCTGCACACATTCACAGGAGCTGTAAGAATATCTGTGGCAGTATTATTTGTAAGGGCCCCAAATTAGGATCTACCTCAATACTTATCAACAATCGAATGGATAAATGAATTATGGTATACACATACAATGGAATACTATAGAACATTAAAATGAAAGGAAAAATGAAATATTATATTTGAATAAAAAAGTTACATAACTCTATATACAGTGTCTCATTTTCATAATGTTCAAATCCCAAATGAAACAATATTTGTATCATATGTTTGTTAAAACTATTTTTATTTTGAACAAGGAAATGAAAACACCAAATTTATGAGAACAGTCACCTTGAGGGAAAGGATACATGAAGTATACAAGGGAAAGAGGCCAAGGTATTGGTTATGTTCTAGTTCTTAAGTCGAATGATAGGTTCAGGGCAATTCGTTTTACCATGTTTTACCATGCTTTACAACTTTTTGTTTTCTTTTGATTTTTACAAATGATTTTTTAAGAAAAAGAATTTATCCAGATTCAGTGCTATGCACTTGTAGTTCCAGCTACTTGGAGGCTGAAGTGAGAGGATTGCTTGAGACAGGAGCTCAAAGTGCAGTGTGCTATGATCACGCCTGTGAATAGCCACTGCATTTCAACCTGGGCAACATAGTAAGACCTCATCTCAAACAAAAGAGAAAAAGAATTTATTCCTTACCCTAACTTGATATTTCAGGGTTCTCTTCCATCTTATGCCAAATTACATTTCCTGTTTGTAACACCACTTTCCTGATCATATATGCCTTATGGTCCAACACAACTTCCCAAACACAAGTGTTTTCCATTTACAGTTGTCTACTCCCCCTCTTACCCCTCCCTTTTCTCTCATCTTCTTTTGCTCCCAGTCTTCACCTGTCAAAACGTTACCTGTCTTTCCTGTTTCAGCTTGGCACAAAGATTTTTGATCGCCTAAATAACAGTAATGCGTACCTATTCTGAGCTTCCAGGTTATCTTGCACATTTTTATAGCAGGTCCTTCTTTGTTAACTAATTTATCAAATTATGTTTTGGTATCAGGCACGTGATACAGATATGAAAGCCACAGTCCCTACCTCAAAGAGTTCCCAGTCTAGCAGATGAGAAAGTCAAGAAAACAGACCATTACAATTCTGAGAAAAATATCTTGATAAAAAAGGGAGTACCTAACTTAAATAGATAAAGTTAGACAGGGCTTCTTAGAAAAAGTGAAATCTGAATTCAATTTTAAATAACGAGGGATAAAATAGCCAGGCAAAAAACATGGCAAAGTGTGTTACAGGTAGAACTATTCTTTTCTTCTTAAATTATCACCTTCTTGAAGAGGCTTTCCACTGCTATCCATACTTTAAAACCCCTACCATCACAAACCCTATATCCACTCTCTTTCAAAAAATCCTGTTTCAAAGCAACCAAATTCCAATGTGTAATTATAGACTTATTTTTTCATTTGTTTATTGATTTAGTCACTCTAAGCCCACAGGAGTAGGAATTATATCTCTTTTGTTCACTGCTCTATACCCAACACCTAGCACAGTGCCTTGCACAAAGGACATGTTCAATAAATATTTGTTGAATGAATTGATGAAGTTGGAACAAATGTGAAGGTTTGGAAATGCTGGACAGCATATCCGGTCTAAGGAACTCCAAGTAGTACAGTATGGATGGAACACAGGAATAGTGGGTAAGCAGGAAGAACAGGCGAGGCTAAGAGGTTGCCAGGGGCTGGATTATGAATAAATTTTATGTCTTCCTAAGCAGTTTTGACTTCATTCTGAAAGTGATGGTTAACCACCAAACAGTTTTCAGCTGTTGGGTGGCAGGTGGTCACATTTGCACTTAAGAAAGTTTGGAGAATAAACTGAAATGGAGGTAAGATGGCCATTCAGGGAGTTGTAGTAATCTGGTTGAGAAACAATAAGACTGAATTGTGGCTGTGCATTGGGGATGGGAAAAGTGGGAACAGTTTGAGTTATTGGAAGAGAGTGATGGGAAGGGAAAGGCACAAGAGGAGAAGGAATAACAGATAACCTAGGGTTTCAGCCTGAGCAACTGTGTGTTTATTGAAACAGTCACCAACATAGAGATCAAAAGGACCAGATTTGGGGCTCCATCTTCAGTGGACCCAACACTGGAGCACCCAGATATATAAAGCAAATATTATTAGGTCAAAAGGGAGAGATACACCTCAATACAATAATAGTTGGGAGACTTCAACATCCAACTCTAAGCAGATTATCTAGAAAGAAAAACAGCAAACATCCTATTTAAACTGCACCATAGACCAAATGGACTTAACAGACATCTACAGAACTTAATAGACATCTACAGAACATGTTACTCATGTTCTGTATAGTACACATTCTTTTCATTATTAATGGAACATTCTCCAGAACTGTTCATAAGTTAGGACACAAAACAAGTATCAACAAGTTTTTAAAAATCAAAATCATATCAAGTATCTCATCTGAGCACAGTGGATTAAAACTAAACATCAATAACAAGAGGAACATTTGAAACTAAACAAATATATGGAAATTAAACAACATGCTCCTGAACAACCAATGGGTGAAGGAAGAAATTAAGGATAATACTTAAAAATTCTTTGAAACAAATGAAAATAGAAACACAACATATCAAACTTATAGGACACAGCAAAAACAATATTAAGAGGCAAGTTTATAGCAATAAATGCCTACATCAAAAACTAGAAAGATTTCAAAAAACAATCTAATGATTTGTCTCAAAGAATTAGAAAAGGAAGAACAAACCAAATCCAAAGTTAGTAGAAGAAAAGAAATAATAAAGATCAAAGCTGACATAAACAAAATTTAGATAAAAAATACAAAAGATCAATGAAACAAAAAGCTGGTGTTTTGAAAAGAAACAAAATTGACAAACCATTACCTAGACTAGAGAGAGAGATGGGGTGAGAAGGAGAGGGGAGGGGAGGGAGGAGGGGAGGGGAGAGGGAAGGGGAGAAGGAAAGGTAAACGGGAGGAGAGGGGGAAAGGTAAAGGGAAGTGGAGGGGAGGGGAAGGAGGAGAGGGAGGGGAGGGGGAGAGGGAGGGGATGGCAAGTTCAGGTAAATAAAGTCAAAGTGAAAAAAGAGACATTACTTAGAGACCACTGTGAGCAACTATCTGCTAACAAATGGGAAAACCTGGAGGAAATAGCTAAATTCATGGAAATATACAACCTACTGAGATTGAACCAAGAAAAAATTAAAAAACTTGAAAAGACCAATAAAAGTGATGAGATTGAATCAGTAATAAAGAGTCTCCCAAAAAAGAAAAGTCTAGGACTAGATGGCTTCCCTGCTGAATTCTACTGAACCTTTAAAAAAGAATTAATACCAAATCTTCTCAAACTATTCCAAAACATTGAAGCAGAATGAACTCTTCCTAACTCATTCTATGAGGCCAGCATAACCCTGATACCAAAAGCAGACAAGGATACGAAAAAGAAAATTACAGGTCGATATCCCTGATGAACATAGACACAAAAATCTTCAACAAAATATTAGCAAACTCAATACAACAGCACATCAAAAAGATAATACACCATGATGTAGTGTGATATATCCCAGAAATGCAAGAACATATTAGTGGGATATATCCCTGAGCCCAGGAAGTCAAGGCTGCAGTGAATCATGATCATGCCACCACTGCACTCCAGCCTGAGTGACAGAGTGAGACCCTGTTACAAAAACAAAACAAAACAAAACAAAAAAACCCAACTCACTCCCAGGACATCCTTCCTGCACACAACCAGGCTGCTGTTCCTCTGTAGCCTCACACACTGACCCCTGGGCTCACTTGGTGAGCACATCCCCAGAAAGAGGGTAGGTGGCAGGAAAGATCGCTGGCTTGGGGGCAGGCCACCTGGATCTCAGACCTACCTCTGTACTCAATAGCGTGGACAAGTTAGTTACCCTTAGCCTTGATGTTATCATCTGAGACAATTTAAAATATTTTTTTAAATTATAAAAATAGAGATGGGGTCCCACTATGTTGCCCAGGCTGGTCTCAAACTCTTGAGCTCAAGCAATCCTCCCACTTCTGCCTCCCAAAGAGCTAGGTTTAGAGGCATGAGCCACTGCACCTGGCCAACTGGGAACCATTCTAATCTATCATGGAGGGTTACTGTGATAGAAAGGGAAGTATCAGGCTGGGGAGATTTCAGCTCAGCTCATGAATCACTGGCTTCATCATGTGAAGCCGGAAATTCTCTAGCCATCATCCCCTCCATGGTCATATTGATGCCCATCAATCAGACCACCAGGAACATGCCTGCAGTCAACAAAGTTGGGTCATTCAACATAGGCAAATCAATAAATGTGAAACATCACTGCAACAGAATGAAGAACAAAACCATATGATAATTTCAATAGATGCAGAAAAAGCATTTGTCAAAATTCAACATCCTTTCATAATAAAAGCTCTCAATAAATTAGGCATAGAAGAAAAGTACCTCAACATAATAAAGGCCATATATAACAAACCCACAGCTAACATCTTACCTAACAGGGAAAAGCTTCCAGCTTTTCTGGAATAAGACATGGATGCCCACTCTCTCCATTCTTATTCAACAAAGTACTAGAAGTTCCAGCAGGATCAATGAGGCAAGAGAAAGAAATAAAGGACATCAAAATGAGAAAGGAGGAAGTAAAATTGCCCCTGTTTGCAGACGACATGATCTTATATCTAGAAAAATCTAACAACTTTACCAAGAGACTCTTAGAACTGATAAATTCAGTAAAGTTTTAGGATACAAAATCAACATATAAAAATTAGTAGCGTTTCTATACATGAACAATGAACTAGCTGAAAATGAGATCAAGAAGGCAATCTGGTTTATAATAGCTGCAAAAAACAAAAATACATAGGAATAAATTTAGCCAAGGAGGTGAAAGACTTCTACAAAGAAAATGACACAACACTGATGAAATAAATTGTAGATGATGTAAACAAATGGAAGGACATCTCATGCTCATAGATTGGAAGAATTAATATTGTTAAAATGACCATATTACCCAAGGCAATCTACAGATTCAATGCAATCCCCATCAAAATACCAATGCCTTTCTTCACAGAAATAGAAAACACAATCTTAGAATTTGTATGGAATCACAAAAGACCCCAAGTAGCTGAAGCAATTCTGAGCAAAAGAACAAATCTGTATAAAGCACAGTACCAGACTTCAAAACATTCTACAAAGCTCTAGTAATCAAAACAGCACAGTGTTGGCATAAAACAGACACACAAACCAATGGAACAGAATAGATAACCCAGAAATTAATCCATGTATCTACAGCCAACTGCTTTTGACAAAAACTCCAAGAACACTCAATGGGGGAAGTACAGTCTTTTCAGTAAATGGTGCTAGGAAAACTGGATATCCATATACAGAAGAATAAAACTAGACCCCCCCACCCACCACTTACACTATACAAAAATCAAACAAAAATAGATCAAAGACTTAAAATGTAAGGCCCAAACCTCTAAAACTATTAGAAGAAAACAGGGGAAACACTTCAGGACATTGGTCTAGGAAAAGGTTTTATGACTAAGACCTCAGTAGCACAAGTAACAAAGCAAAAATCAACAAATGGGATTTCAGCAATCTAAAAAGCTTCTGCACAGTAAAAGAAACAATCAACAGAGTGAAAAGACAACTTACAGAATGGAGAAAAATATTCACAAACTATTAATCTGACAGGTGATTAATATCCAGAATATACAAGGAACTCAAACAGCAAAACAGAAAAAAAAATTCAATTAAAAAATGGGCAAATGAACAGACATTTCTCAAAAGATGACATTAAAATGACCAATAGTTTATTTGGGTAGAGGTGTTTATAGTATTCTGATGGTAGTTTGTATTTCTGTGGGATTGGTGGTGATATCCCCTTTATCATTTTTTATTGCATCTATTTGATTCTTCTCTATTTTCTTCTTTATTAGTCTTGCTAGTGGTCTATCAATTTTGTTGATCTTTTCAAAAAACCAGCTCCTGGATTCATTGATTTTTTGAAGGTTTTTTTGTGTGTCTCTATCTCCTTCAGTTCTGTTCTGATCTTAGTTATTTCTTGCCTTCTGCTAGCTTTTGAATTTGTTTGCTCTTGTTTCTCTAGTTCTTTTAATTGTGAAGTTAGGGTGTCGATTTTAGATCTTTCCTTCTTTCTCTTGTGGGCATTTAGTGGTATAAATTTCCCTCTACACACTGCTTTAAATGTGTCCCAGAGATTCTGGTACGTTGTGTCTTTGTTCTCATTGGTTTCAAAGAACATCTTTATTTACCCAGTAATCATTCAGAAACAAGTTGTTCAGTTTCCATGCAGTTGTGCAGTTTTGAATGAGTTTCTTAATCCTGAGTTCTAATTTGATTGTACTGTGGTCTGAGAGGCAGTTTGTTATGATTTCTGTTCTTTCACATTTGCTGAGGAGTGCTTTACTTCCAATTATGTGATTAATTTTAGAATAAGTGCGATGTGGTGCTGAGAATAATGTATATTCTGTTGATTTGGGGTGGAGAGTTCTGTAGATGTCTATTAGGTCCACTTGGTGCAGAGCTGAGTTCAAGTCCTGGATATCTTTTTTAACCTTCTGTCTCATTGATCTGTTTAATATTTACAGTGGGGTGTTAAAATCTCCCATTATTATTGTGTGGGAGTCTAAGTCTCTTTGTAGGTCCCTAAGGACTTGCTTTATGAATCTGGGTGCTCCTGTATTGGGTGCATATATATTTAGGATAGTTAGCTCTTCTTGTTGAATTGATCCCTTTACCATAATGTAATGGCCTTCTTTGTGTCTTTTGATCTTTGTTGGTTTAAAGTCTGTTTTATCTGACGCTAGGATTGCAACCCCTGCTTTTTTTGCTTTCCATTTTCTTGGTAGATCTTCCTCCATCCCTTTATTTTGATCCTATGTGTGTCTTTGCACATGAGATGGGTCTCCTGAATACAGCACACTGATGGGTCTTGACTCTCTATCCAATTTGCCAGTCTGTGTCTTTTAAATAGCAAAGACTTGGAACCAACCCAAATGTCCATCAATGATAGACTGGATTAAGAAAACATGGCACATATACACAATGGAATACTATGCAACCATAAAAAGGATGAGTTCATGTCCTTTGCAGGGACATGGAATGAAGCTGGAAACCATCATCCTCAGCAAACTATCACAAGGATAGGAAACCAAACACCGCATGTTCTCACTCATAGGTAGGAATTGAACAATGAGAACACTTGGACACAGGGTGGGGAACATCACACACTGGGGCTTGTCAGGCGGTGAGGGGCTGGGGGAGGGATAGCATTAGGAGAAATACTTAATGTAAATGATGAGTTGATGGGTGCAGCAAACCAACATGGCACACATGTATACCTGTGTAACAAACCTTCACATTGTGCACTTGTACCCTAGAACTTAAAGTATAATAAAAAATAAATAAAATAAAATGACCAATAAACATATTTTAAAATGTTCAACATCACTAATCACCAGGGAAATGCAAATCAAAACCACAATGAGGTATCATTTCATCCCTGTTAGGATGGCATTCATCAAAAGGACAAAAAAAAAATCACATGCTAGCAAGGATGTGGAGAATAGGAAATTCTCTTCATTCTTAGTGGGAATATAAATAGTACAGCACCTATGAATAACAGTATGGAGGTTCCTAAAAAACTACAAATAGAACTATCATATGATTCAGCAGTTCCATTGCTGGGTATTAATCCAAAGGAAATGAAATCAGTATATCAAAGAGACATCTATGCTCCCATGTTTATTGCAGCACTATATGCAATAGCCAACATATGGAATCAACTTAGGTATCCAACATCAAATGAATGGTAAAGAAAATGTGATAAACATACACATGGCAGAGCACTATTCAGCCATAAAAAAGAATGAAATCATGTCATTCACAGCAACATGGATAGAAGTGGAGGACATTATGTTAAGTGAAATAAGCCAGGAATAGAAAGTTAAGCACGACATGTTCTCACTCATATATGAAAGCTAAGAAAGGTTGCTGTCATAGAAATAAAGAGTAGAACAGAGGATGCTAAAGGCTGGGAAAGTAGGGAATAGAGAGAGATTAGTTCAGGATACAATATACAGTGAGATATGAGGAATATGTTCTAGTGTTCTATACCACTGATATGGTCAGGCTTTGTGTCTCCACTAAACCTCACCTTGAATTGTAATCCCCATGTGTCGAGGGAGGGAGGTGACTGGAGGTGTAGGCAGTTTCCTACATAGTGTTCTCATTATAGTGAATGAGTTCTCATGAGTTCTGATGGCTTTATAAGGGGTTCTTTCCCCTTCACTTTCTCTTCTCTCTCTTGCCTGCCACCATGTAATATGTGCCTCTTCCCCTTCTGCCATGATTGTAAGTTTCCTGAGGCCTCACCAGCCACGCGGAACTGCGAGTCAATTAAGCTTCTTTCCTTTATTAATTACCTAGTCTCAGGTATTTCTTTATAGCAGTGTAAAAATGGGCTAATACAACTACCATAGGATGACTATAGTTAACAATAATATATCATATAGTTTTAAATAGCTAGAAGGGAGATATTGAATATTCCCAACACAAAGAAATGATAAATGTTTGATGATGAATATGCTAATTACCTTTATCTTATCACTATATATTTTGTGTATCAAAACATCACTATCTACCTGGAAAATATGTACAATTATTATATGTCAACTTAAAAATAACATCAAATAACAAAGAAATAATAACATAGAAACCTAGGGAAAAACTAGTATTTTTTTTCCTTTGGAGGATGGCATAGTTCATATTTTAAGATATAGAGAAGACAAATAAAGGCTTAAAAGTATCTGTTGGATTTAACAAAGGAGTTATTAGTGACCTTACCAAAAATAAGTTCAATTGTATAATAGGAAACCTAATTGCAGTGAGCAAGGAAAGATGAATCAAACATGAAGAGAGGAGACTTTTATTTTTAACCAATTGATTAAGAGGGAAAGTATAAATAATAAGTGACTGGAGAGGGAGCATCAAACTTAAGGATGGCTTTTTTTTTTTTTTTTTTTGGAACAGAGCCTGTCTCCATTGCCCAGGCTGGAGTCTAGTGGTGTGATCCCGGCTCACTACAACCTCTGCCTCAAAGGCTCAAGCCATCCTCCCACTTCAGCCTCCTGAATAGCTGGGACTACAGGCATGTGCCACCATGCCTGGCTAGTTTAGTAGAGATGGGATTTTGCCATGTTTCTCAGGCTTGTCTTGAACTCCTAGACTCAGGCAATCCACCTACCTCTGCCTCTCAAAGTGCTGGGATTACAGGCATGAGCCACTGCATGCAGCCATCTTTTTTGATAAATTATAGTTATTTAGTCCTTGAATACAGACGTTCTGTCACATAGTGCTTGCTATCCTTCATGTTGTCATGTACATTGGAGATAATTTAAAAAATGTGTTGAAATGAGTTTCAAGTCTGAATTCAAAAATAAAAAACAGAAACAAACTCAAAACCTCCAATGCCTTTTGTGGTCACCTACCACTTTTGGATCATATATGTTATTCAGTGTTTTCCCCTCTTAGTGAGAAGACTATCTTAAGTTGACTTTTCATTCAATCTCCAAGGATCTGAAAAGATGGTTCTGTGATCATAATTAAGAAAGCATCAGGAAATGGGTCAAATATCAGCAGGGATGACCAATAAGGTAAATTACTTACTTTGACTCTTTTTCACTCAGGTCTACATCATCATAAATAATAACTTCCTGAGACTTAAGTTCTAGGGTCAAGACAGAATCAAAATAGTCCATTATTAAGCATGGTTTATATAAGCACTGACTTTCCAAATTATACTCAATTACCTAATTATCCAGGTGCATCTTCAGGTCTGTTTTAGCAAAATCTGATCATAAAATACAGATAGGCTAGAAGAATCAAAGAATAAAAATATTCTCTATTTGGGAAGAAATTCAACTGAAAGATTAAAAAAAAGTGTGATGTCCCAGTATCTCAAAACATATATATTTATATTAATTTGCTTTTACATAGAGTTCCAGAAAAATATGAGTTGCTCAAAGAGTCATTTTTAGACTAAGTTCCCATCTTTCTGGAATTGAACAAATATGCTATACTGCTAGAATAGTGAGAGGTCTTTTCTTAACTCCTAGGGGGGAGAAACAGCTTAATAGAACAGTAATGTTGATTTTTCTTCCATGGTTTTTATTTCAAATCATTGGCAATTGCTCCTATACAATAATCTTGCATAATGTTGAATCTGACTCAGTGCATAATAATAATTAGGCATTTTCATTTTAGGATATTCACATTCCTTGGCACTCTACATAGAATTACATGATTTTCATTTGATTCACCACTGAACAAGTTTGAGACCTTCTAGTATAATTATTCATAATTATTCACTCCCTTATTTTATTAAATACCTTCAAATGTGGGTGGGGATACAATGCATGCCTATTCTAGGTCAGCTTTTTTCTTTTAAACACAGACCAAGGATATGTTGAGATGTGGGATTTTATCAGGTATATATAATTGTCATTTGTCTTTTAGTTCAGCAAACTCATATTTATGAAATATAATATACTTTTGAATTGTCAAGTTCGAGTGACATCCAGGTAGCCACATAGCTAGAACCCCTAAACAAAAACTAACAAACAACAGAACACATGACCCTCTTTTATTGACAAATTCAATGTACTGAACGTGTATTGACAGCCTACTATGTGTCAAGCACCGTGCTAATTTATGCACTATTATTTTAATGGAAAAGCAAACAACATTCCAATGATCCATTCTCAATTCAGTTAGTTTGCTGGTGGCAATGTGATCATATTCAGTTAGTGTCTTAATTAGGATGAAGGATATCAAGTCCTTCAAAAGGCAGTATGGTAGAATGCAAAATGCATGAGTTTCATAGTCAGAGAGCCTGGAATACAAATCCTGGATCACTTAAATATGGTCCTACAGCTTCTCTAAAAAGGGATGATAACATTTATTTTTCTGGGATTTTAAGAGGAACACATCTGCCCCAGGGCATGGTATGTAGTAGGTACTTGAGAAACACTACTCATCTTCTCCAAAGTAAAAAAATACTTCCGTGTGAAACATCTTCTTTGATTTTGGTAGAGCAATTTTTCATCAAATGTGGGAATGCAGGAAGGGTTACCATTTCTCTTTCCCTGCCTCTGAATATACAAAAGCTGAGTACTTTTGGTCTGCAATAAGCAAATGGCACTTACCTAAATCAGGCAGCAAAATGGAAAATGCACTGTTGATTGACAAAAGACACAAAAGAGTTAAGGAAAAAAACCATGTTTGGAAAGATGAGCTGACAGATCTCCAATAACATATTGATGATGCTGGATTGCCCTTCTTGCCCTGGTATTCTCTGACTCCAAGTAAAAATAGTTTCTCTGGTATTAACAGATGTCACAAGATGTGCACAAGATGTTATGGGAACACAAAGGAAATGGGTAATCCAGGTTTGGGAAGAGAAGTTCAGGGGAGACATTCAATAAGGGACAATATTTGATCGAATTTTAAGGGAAAACTAGAACTTTGAGAACAAAAGAAGGCTGGAGGAGGGCAGGTACATTCCAGACCATGAGAATGTCATGTTCAAAGCATGGAGGCATGAGACACCATGGCAGAGTCTGAGATCTATAGCTATGTGGATGGGATGGTAGTGAGAGTAATTTTAGTGAGAGACAGAACTAGAGAAGTAGAATGGGGACAGCCATGAAGTATTTACTTGCCAGGGTAAGGAACTGGATATTTATTCTAAACGTAGTATGTAGCCAATGAATAGTTTTGAGAGAAAGGTAATCAGATTTGCATATTTAAAACATTAGCATTCTCATCTTGATCAAATATTATGGGACTGCCGGTTATCATGCCAATAATTTTCTCTCAGAAAACATCTAATCTGCTAAGGCCAGGGTCTGCCTTTGTGCATAGGGTCTCGCTGACCACACTCCCTCTTCTTCCATATCAGGACTACAATTTATAAACCTCATGTTTTGTAGGGTCTCTTGGTAGATCTAGATCCAATTGACAGTTGAACTTAAAGCCACAAAACTCTGAGGCTTTATAATCAAAAAGAACTTCAGGGTAGAACAACATAATTCCATCTCACTATAGGTAATTACCTTGGGCAAATTATTTTAGCATCTTCTGCCCTCACAAAATACATCTCTATGTCTGTATATCTACACAGATGTTCCCAGCCTTACAATGGTTTGACTCCCAATTTTTCTGCTTTACAGTGGTGTGAAAGCAATACGCATTCAGTAGAAACCTACTTCAAGTATCCTTAAGACCATTCTTTTTCCACTTTCAGTACAGTATTCAATAAATTACATGAGATAGTCAACACTTTTTATAGACAGGCTTTGTGTTAGATGCTTTTGCCCAACTGTAGGCTGATGTAAATATTCCAAGCATGTTTAAGATGAGCTAGGCTAAGCGATGATGTTTGGTAGATGTATTAAATGGACTTTTAACTTAACATATTTTAGAGTTGCAATGAGTTTATTGAGACACAACCCCATCATAAATTGAGGTGCACCTGAATATCTACATCTATATCTATCTATTGCCTGCAAAGCGTCTCCAGGGTCCCCCTTCCATTATATGCAGGAGAAAAGTGGAATGCTGTGGGTGTATAAAGGAAGTGATATGCCCACAGTTGTACATGGAATAAATGGCAGAACTGGTACTAGAATATAGAATCCAGGTCCCCTCACATCTCTTTCTAGTGCTAGTGAATTTGGAACCTCTCTCAAAACTGGCAGTTAGCCTAGGTTATCTCAGAGGATCTTTTCCAGGTCTAAGACCTTGCAATACACGAACTGTTCAGCTGAGCAGCTCATCTCCCCCTTCCACATATTGCTGCTCTCAAGGGAGATAAATTAAATATGGAACAGTAGACAAATAAAAACTACTGGGGCTTGTAGGGCCCCAAAAGCATAAAAGGACATGGTAAGTAATGCTTAGTGGTAACAACAGGAATAGGATGTTAAGGCTGATGAGGAAAGTTTCCTTTCTGGACTTCGCTTAAGATTTTCCCTCTACCCTTATTTTCAACCCTTTCTCTGCCATTTTTTCAAAGGAGCATGCCACTTTCTCATTAATTAGTCTCTGTGCATGTAGTTCAATCAAAAATTCACAAGAAAGGGGCAGATGATGGCCAGACCCTTGGTTTTAGTTTCTGATATCCCCTTCACTGTTTCTGAGATTGGATGGAGAACATCAACTTGTGTATCTACCAGGTTAATCCCCTCGTGGAAAGGGATTTAAAGGGACTTTTTACCTTAAGTTTTCTTTCGACTTGGTTTTCTTTATTTTAAATCTATCCTTTTCTTTCTTGAAGAATTGCTGCAGTCTTTTGAGTGCTTCTTTTCCATCTAAACTGAGAGGAATCACAGGATATAAGTAACATGGCATTTAAGAGAGTACTAGAGATAGAAGGCTGTTGTATTATAAAATCAAATGCCACATGTTCTCACTTGTAAGTGGGAGCTAAACAATAGGTATACATGGTCATAAAGATGGAAATAACCGACACTGGGGACTCCAAAAAGCGGGAGGGTGGGAGGAAGAATGAAGGTTGGAAAGTTCCCTATTGGGTAAATGTTCACTGTTTGGGTAATGGGTAGACTAGAAGCCCATACCTCATCATTAGGCAATATATTTATGTATCAAACCTGCACAGGTACCTCTGAGTCCATAAAAAAAATAAAGAACCAGAGGCTTTGTTTTCATGTCCAAAACACATCTCACTCAAGAAAGAGCAAGAAGATGCCTTATTGAGTTCTATGCTTTTCTTTGTTTAGATGTGATATGAAGTTGCACACACCAGTCAACTATGAAGGGAGTAATGATATTTCAAGACAAACTACTGCAAGTAATCTCTATTTTGCAGATTTTATGAAGCAGTCTTCCCTTTAGAGGAAAAGATAACTCAGGGAAATGTACTTTACAAACTGTGCTAGAAATACGTTATAGAAAATCCTGACTCTTGAAATTCTTATCATTGATTTTTAATTTACTGAATAATATAGCAGTGATGGTACATTGATTACCCAGCTGATGATTACAATTCTGTCAAATATCCTTTTGGGGCCTTTAGGGGGTAGAGTGAGGGAATGATATACCCACATCGTGCCAACCAGCATGCCCAGTTCAGGGTCTTTTTCCCCTTGAACCCTTAAACTCCTTGCTTTTGACCATTGCCGTTTTCTTTTCCACAACATGTCCTTAATAACTAAACTTGTAGAATAATACCCATCTGAACAAATTTTATTCTTGATAACACTGAATCACACTACATGTTATATTAAGCCCAAATCCCGGAGATAGCCTTACTAACTTACAGAGACACAGGTAAGTCATAACCATTAATTTGTTCCTGGAAAAACAGCTATAAAATTGAAGCAAGTTTTATTAATATTTACATCTCTTTTATTACTTATTTTCTAACCCAATATCAAAATCATTTACTCTGGGAAATGGGTATTTCTCAAAAGCGAGAACAATGTGATTTAATATTGATAGTATATGATTGTACACAATTACAAGTATCCTATTGATCACAATTGTAATATTACAATAGGTTATCATAACTCTCAGTGTGAATCTTTCCTAAAAGATGATGATGGGAGTCGGGGGTGGCAGTGGGGCTGGGGGGCGGATGGTGGGTCCTCACTGAAACTCTGGCTTTACTAGACTAACAGGAAGTCATTAGCCTACAAAGCCAAGAAAGAGAGAAACTCACTCTATCTTTGGGTAGTTGTTCTTTGTTTTGTAGACATCTTCATACAGTTCTCTATTTTCTTCTGAAATTAGAAGAAAACCCTACTTATATTCATTATAATAGCAATAGTTCAGATTCATATTTAACAAAAAGTATTAGATACTTACTAGATGCTAGGTACTTTGATCTTTCTTTTGTTAAATAGTTTTTACTGAAACTCACCCACATGTTTTTAAAAGCATATGGTAAAAATACTTAAACCTCTATAAAAGTATGTATAAATGAAAATTAAGACTCATTTCCACCTGATTCCAAATTTGAACTGATTTAGTCAAAGAAAGTTGGTTCTTCAATAGATTCCTTCCTTCCACCCTCCCTCCTTCCTGTATTTAATACATAACAATCAGAATTTACTAAGCATCAGGCATTGCGCTGAATGCTGGGGCAACCATGGAAAATGAGATATATCTTGAATAATCTCTCCCTTCACAGCATGGCTTTGGCCTAGCCCAACACATAAGCTTAACATACACAGTTATACTTTAATTCAATCCTGAAACAGAGTCTAATGGAAAGAATTTTGAATATCAGGGTCAGGATTTTTAGGTTCAAAACTCAACTTTAACACACAATGATCTTAGAGGAGTCACTTCTCTATGTTTCAATTTTCTTTTTAAAATGAGTGTACTGGGTTTAATGATATTTAAGGTTGTTTTTCCCTCTAAACTTCTGAGATTCTAAGATCAATCAGAGTAACATTTGATTCTCTCCACTCCATTGCTTTTTCTTTTTCTAAAATTTATTTTAAAATTGACAAATAATAATTATATATACTTATGATATATAACATGTTTTGATAATTGTATACATAGTGGAATGACTAAGTCAAGCCAGTTAATGTATTCATTACCTCACATATTTTTTGTGGTGAGAATTTTAAAATCTACTCTCAGCAATTTTCAAGTATATAATACTTTTGTTATTAACTATAATCACTGTTGTACTATAAACTTCCTGAAGGTACTTCTCCTAATTGAAATTTTGTATCCTTTGACCAATACCTCCCCATTACTTTTTCATTCATGAATTCCTTCATTCAACAGATTTTTTTGAATATCTAACATGTACTTGGCATTATGCTAGGGGCTGGAGAAAATGGTATGTATAAAGAAGGTAATAATCTAGGAGGGGAGACATTAATTAAAAAGTCACATAAGTATAAAATTACAACTGTGACAAGTACTATGAAAAAGAAGTCCATGGTACTATGAGATTGTACACCAAGGAGAATATTCCCTGTGGAAATAATGATTGAGCTGAGATTAGAAGATTAAGAGTCAGTGAAACAAAGGTACCCAGGGGAGGAAAGAGCATTCCGGAAAGGGAGGGAAAAGCATATGAAAATATCCTGCTGTTGGAGCTTGGCAAATTATACAAGCTAAAAGAAGGTCAGCATAACTGGGTCTCAAAGATGAAGATTGAGTACAGTGTGAGATGAGGCTCCAGAGGTCTGTAGGGGTAGGTTAGTCAAGGACTCTAGATCATGTCAGAAGCCAATCTTAAAAGTATTGGAAAGCCAAGAAAGTGTTTTAAGTAAAAACAGTCCTATAATCAGACTTACACTGTGAAAAGATCAGGAAGGAAGTAAACTCACTTTTACCATAAGAATGCTCTTACCAGCATCTTCATGTTCCTGATTCTAAATGCATTTATTAGCACATACCTTGGTATTGCTGTTAGCACATATCTTGGTATTGCTTCTCTTAGCTTCCCACAAATTGGCATTATTAAAATATGAATAATTAAAAGACATCTTATCACTAATCAGCCATAGAAGCATTCTGCAATTCCTACTGGCAACTTCAGAAATGTCTTCCTATACTTACCACTACTTGAGGCAAGTGAGCTAGAGTAGTTCAGCTTCGGTCTATGGGAGAAAATAACAAAGACCATTATTGTACCTTTAAAGTCTCATCACATTCATCTTGCTGAAAGACTGGAATGTTACTTACACCTCTTTCCTGGAGTACTCGACATCATCATATATCTCCTCCGAGATGGAACTTGTCTTAGAGACCCCTAGGTCTGGAGTTTCTTTAGTTGACTCCAAAACCTCCAGATGCCCACCTGAAAGGAAACCAGAAAACCTGAAAAACATCACATCAGCTGCCATCATAAAGTCATTCACACACATCACTGGCAGTGGAGGCAAGCATAAGAAAAGGCAGATTAAATGGGCTAAAATTGGATTACAGTCTTGGTATGTATGATCCTTGGGCAAGCCACTTCACTTTGTAGAGCCTCAGTTATGATTCTCTGAAGTTGAGGATAATGATGCTAACACCGAATCATGTGGTTTTGGCAAGGATTAAATACATATTTATGAAGGGTGCTGGTTACCTAGTAAACTAGTAACTCCCTTCTTTGATGGTTCTTCCTTTAATCCCTGACCTCAAACTTTGAAGTCTACCAGGGTACATCCCTGGGGCTTATCTCTCTACATCTAGATGATCTTATCCAGTCTTACGGCAGTTCTTAAAGCAAAATTTCTCAGACAAGTCGATTGAGCACATATCAATATATATTATTCATTAATTCATTCTGGAGTTAGCCAGAAGATAGTGTGCCAGGTTAACAAATGTATAGGGATTGTTTGCACAAGTAGATGCTGGCTTACTTCACAGAGTTGTAAACTTGTCATAACCATAAAACTGCCACCTCTTTATCTGTTGGCATAGGTTAATATTTAGGGTATGGGTAATTCATAGCCATATTCAGATATGAACTATTAATCAGAAATAGAAAGTAATATACTTGAGAAATAAACAACAAGCACATTAACTGGTATCTATTAATTAAATGAACCAAGCAATAAGATTTTATCCTCTGACAAGAAGTCAGTGAGCGTGTAGGCCCCAAACCATCTCAATGAATGTCAGCTCTCAGAGGCATAAGGTCCTACTTTTTCTCAAGGAGTTATCAGTAAATTTCTCCAATACAAAATAAAGATGCTGAACACACACAGTTTCTTCTTAGTCTGCAGCATTTATTTCCTTCCTCAATCCTTCCTTTTGGCTGAAGCAAATGCAAAAGTTTATGCCTTCATTTTAAAAACACTGACGACTCTCAAATTTACATCTCCAATTTAGACATCTCTCATGAATTCCAGATACTTTATCAGCCTTCACACCATTTCCTTTTGGTTGTCTAAACATATTACATTCCAAACCAAAATCATAATTTCTCTCTGCAAGTTTGCTCTTCCTGAAGTTTATTCAATCTCATAAAAGGGGCAATTCCATCCTTTATGTTGCTCAGGCCCAAAACCTTGGAGACATCCTCGATTCATTTCTCTCTCATTTCTCACTTCCAATCCAAAGCCATCTGTCCACTGTAGTTTCAAATTATATTCCGATTTCAAATACATCTCAGCAATTCTACCATAGTATCCTCCTCCAAGCTACCACCATTTCTCACCTAAATTATTGCAATAACCTCCTAACCGGTCTCCCCGATTTATCTCACATTTTATTTTCAAGACAGAAGCCAGATGATTTTTTAAAATGCAAATCAGGTCATGCCTTTCTTGTACTTGCAAAAGCTTTCAGTGGTTTTAAAAATCTCATTTATGGTAAATGCTAAAGTTCTTGCAGTGATCTACAGAAGTCCCTTGTTATTTCTGTGACCCCATCTCCTACTATACTCTTCCTCGGTTACTCTGTTCTAGCCACACTGGCCTCCTTGCAGCTCCTCCAACATATCTGGCCAACTTCTGCCTCAGGGATTTGCACTTTTTTTCTCTTCCTAGGTCATTCATATCCTAGATACACATATGGCTCTCTTCCTCAACTACTTGAGGTTTTTGAAGTAATCTATGAGCACTTTAAAATGGCAACCTCTATCACCTCTACCTGCTTCTTTAATTCTCTTAGCTTGCTTTATTTTTTCATATTTACTATTAATACCATTCAATATAGATCTTTTATTATTTATTGTCCGTCTCCTCTGATCCGAAAGTAACCTCTGTGAGAAAAGGAATTTTTGCCTGTTCACTGCTATACACCCCCATTTCCTAGAACAGTGCTGGGCACATAAAAAGTACTTAATATATTTGAATTTCGAATGATTTGAATGCATGTGTCTTCTCACTGGTGAATTTAGTGCATTACATTTATAGTGTTTACTGATATTTTTAAATTTTTATCTATTATCTTAGTACATATTTTTATTTGTTCCATGTTTTTCTTATCTTCATCTGACTAAAGTTTCTTCTCTTTCTGCCATTCTGTTTTCTTTTCTATTTGTTTTCTTTCATTTGTTATCTTTTAATAGTTACCCACAAGAGTGACCACTGTCCTGACTTCTAATACCAGCGGTACTTATTTTTGAATGTTTTAATAATGGAATAATTTAGTATGCACTCTATGGTGTCACCTACTTTCCTTCAATATTATGTTTGTGAGATTCATCAATATTGTTGCAAATAGTTTTTTTTGCTCATTCAGATGACTTTATTCTATTGTGTGAATAGGTTACCATTTATTTATCCATTCTACTTTTTATGGGCATCTGGACAGTTTCCAATTTGGGGCTATTACAAAAAGTTTTGCTATAAGCATTTTGTATGTGTGTTTTGGTGCATTAAACTGTGCACTTATATTGGGATATATACATAAGTACTGAATTGCTAGGTCATAGGATATGCATTATGTTCAACCTTAGTACTGCTAAACAGTTTTCCAAAATGGTTGTCCCAGCTTACAATCTCCACAGTGAATGAGAGCTTTAGTTGCTCCATATCTTTACTAACACTTGATATTTTTAGTCTTTTTTATTGTAGCCAATTTGGTAGCAGAATTGAATTTTCATAGTGTATTTGCCTTTTGGATGGTCTCTTTGGGGAAGGGCTGTTTCAATATTTTTCTAATTTCACTATATTTCTTTTATAAAAAATTGATTTCTAGTTTATGTTTTCTGAATACCAAGCATTCACAGATGTATATTCCAAATATGAGTCATTTATCAAATATGTATATATTTGATACATAAACGGTATATGTAAATAATGGAAATATCTTCTCCGACCCAGTGACTTACCTTCTCACTCTTTTTTAACTTTTTTTTTTTATTTTACTTTAAGTTCTGAGATACATGTGCAGAATATGCAGGTTAGTTGTGCCATGGTGGTTTGCTGCACCAATCAACTCGTCATCTAGGTTTTAAGCCCCGCATGCACTAAGTATTTGTCCTAATGCTCTCTGTCCCCTTGCCTCCCACCCCTGACAGGCCCCAGTATGTGATGTTCCCTTCCCTGTGTACATGCGTTCCTCATTGTTCAACTCCCACTTATGAGTGAGAATGTGTGGTGTTGGGTTTTCTGTTCCTATATTAGTTTGCTGAGAATGATGGCTTCCAGCTTCACCCATGTCCTTGCAAAGGACATGAACTCATTCTTTTTTATGGCTGCATAGTATTCCATGGTATATATGTGCCACATTTTCTTTATCCAGTCTATCATTGATGGATTGTTTCCAAGTCTTTGCTATTGTAAATAGTGCTGCAATAAACATACGTGTGCATGTATCTTTATAGTAGAATTATTTATAATCCTTTGGGTATATACCCAGTAATGGGATTGCTGGGTCAAATGGTATTTCTGGTTCTAGATCCTTGAGGAATCACCACGCTGTCTTCCACAATCGTTGAACTAATTTACACTCTGACCAACAGTGTAAAAGCATTCCTATTTCTCCACAGCCTCACCAGCATCTGTTGTTTCCTGACTTTTTGATAACTGTCATTCTAACTGGCGTGAGATGGTATCTCATTGTGGTTTTGATTTGGATTTCTCTAATGACCAGTGATGATGAGCTTTTTTTCATATGTTTGTTGGCTACATAAATGTCTTCTTTTGAGAAGTGTCTGTTCATATCCTTTGCCCACTTTTTGATGGGGTTGTTTTATTCTTGTAAATTTGTTTAAGTTTCTTGTAGATTCTGGATATTAGACCTTTGTCAGATGGATAGATTCCAAAAATTCCCTCTCATTCTGAAGGTTGCCTGTTCACTCTGATGATAGTTGCTTTTGCTGTGCAGAAGCTCTTTAGTTTAATTAGATCCCATTGGTCAATTTTGGCTGTTGTTGCAATTGCTTTTGGTGTTTTAGTCATGAAGCCTTTGTCCATGCCTATGTCCTGAATGGTATTGCCTAGGTTTTCTTCTTGGGTTTTTATGGTTTTAAGTTTTCCATTTAAGTCTTTAATCCCTCTTGAGTTAATTTTTATGTAAGGTGTGAGGAAGGGGTCCAGTTTCTGTTTTCCGCATGTGGCTAGCCAGTTTTCCCAGCACCATTTATCAAACAGGAAATCCTTTCCTTATTGCTTGTTTTTGTCAGGTTTGTCAAAGATCATATGGTTGTACATGTGTGATGTTACCTTCTCACTCTTTTAACGGTATATTTTAATGATTGTATCCTAGCTCTTCTAATTCTTTCAAGGCTAAAGCAAATTAATACCATTACTCTCTTCCCAAACAATTATCAACCTTAGGACACTTTAATCACCTTCTCAATATAAGCACTATGAATGTTCAATATTTTATAATATTTTGCTCCTTCCTCAATTTGACGTTATTTTGTTGAATTAATGCTTTTGCTTAACTTTTTTTCTTGCATCCACAACTTTCTATCTGTGATTATCTTCCTTCTGCCTGAAGTACATGCTTTAGAATTTCCTTCAGTGCATTTTATCTGGACAATAAAATGTCCCAGTTTTTATTTGTCTGACAACATCTTATTTTTCTTTCATTTGTGAAAGGCATTTTTATGAGACATAAAATTTCAGGTAGATATTTAATCTCTTTCAGCAAAATTATATTCTTGTTACACAGGAGAAATCAGCAGTCAGAACTCAGTTGTGTTTTTTTTTTTTGTGGGTGATTGGTTTTTCCCCTTTGTCTGTTTTTAAGGTCTTTTAAGATATTCTCTTATTCTTTAATGTTCTTCATTTTGCATGGCTAGGCATAGATTTCTGTTTTTTATCCTGCTTGAGAACTTTAGGGTTCCTGGCTTTGCAAATTTATCTCTCTCAACAATTTTGGAAAATTCTCAGATAGTATTTGTTTTATCTATTATTTCCTCTTCCTCACTTTTCCAGTATCCTTTTATGGAATTCTGATTTTTCTGATTTTATTACAATTTTAGACTTTTCACTTTACCTTCCATGACTTTTATCCTCTCTTTTACTCTTTTTAAAATCATTTTTCCCTATAGAATGAATTTTGGATAATTTCTTTAGATTTATCTTTTAGTTCACTAATTTTCTCTTCAACTATAGGTAATGTGATATAAAATGTAATCATTGGCATTTTATCAATTTATCAATTATTATTTTTTCCTTTTCAAATATTTTTAAAATATGGCTATTCTCTATTCATATTATCCTCTATTTTAAAAACATATTAAACATCTTATGTGTTATACCTGATAATCCTAATATCTGCAATATCTTGTAGGTTGGTTCTGCTATCTGTTCCACTGGTTTTCCCTCACTGTGAGTTGTTTCCTTGTGTTTGGTTATTTTTGACTATCAATTGTTAACATGTAAAGAATATTTTGAGGGGATTATTTGAAATCTGGGATGAAACTAAATAGGGATTTGGATCTCAGCAAAAATCATCAAGGCAAAAGTTAGCTTTGGCATGCACCTCCCAGGTTTCCTGGTTACTGCCGGCCTGTGGGTGCTTTTCTTTATAAATCAGTTCTGTGGTACTTTTATGAATGTTTTAAAAAATTTATTCTTCACTTTGTTTTAGTCAAGAGAGTCATTCATATTGCCTAGTCCACCATATTTTTAGACACTGAAGTTTGATTAATCCTTTCATTCTACAAAATTAAATTGGGTTTCTCCTGTGTGCTCGATACTTAGCCAGGTTACAGAGATACAGAAAAAAAATACCAAATGGTCTGTGATTTCAAGGTGCCTACGGCGTGCCATGGGAGATAACACATAAATCATGAATTGCAATGTAAGGCATGGTATAATTTTTCAAAATAAAAATAAATGAAAAAGACTAATAGTTACTTAATATATGATCCAGAAACTTTATATGCATTGACAAATAGCCTTAGGAAATTAGTAGTAGTATCACCATTTGCACATGAAAGTAAGTACATTTTCCAAAATCACGGGGTTAGTATAGAAATGCTTTATTCCAGATCCTATGACTGTGGCCGTTCTGTTGCTATTGAAGTGTCAACTGAAAGGGTAGCAAAACCAGGAGTGGAAAAAGTGATACCAAGTCACTATGATATTGTTTGTGTCCCTGGATCCAACCATGGCTAGACTTTCTGCTAGGTGAACCTCCTTTTCTTTTTGTGTTTAACATAGTATGGTTTGATCACTGTTGCTTCCAATCAAGGGTACCGACTAACACGCAGGTAAAATGCAACCTGAATAAAGTCAACAAATGATACCATAGTGTATCACCAGTACATGTCAATGATGATGTGAGCCTAGACAACAGGAGCTAGTATATATATAAAAAAAAGAACAAACATTTGCTGAGTACCTATCATATAATATACTGTCAGATTTGGTCCTCATAAAAGCCCTGTGAGGTCCATATTATGATGATCTCTTTTTATAAATGAAGAAATTGAGTTGCAGGAATATGAAGTCACTTACCACACAGCTTACTAAGTATTAGAGCTTAGGTTTGAACTCAAGACTTCTGCTTTTCAATTCAGTGTTTTTTTCCACTACTGCACAGCTTCCTCACTAGGGCAAGTTGCTTGGCACAAAATAGATGTTCAATAAATATTGGTAAAATAAATTAAAATTTTGGCCATGCTCAGCTATAAAACAAATTGTAATGATGAAGAAGATCAGAAAGAAATGCAACTTACAGTGGCCTTGGGAGTGCCTGGCCAGCTTTGGGCCCTCAGGGCAGGGATTTGTCTGGATGATGTCAATCATGGCCTCTTGCTTTCCAGCCAACATGTTCCTTCTACCTGTGTGGACGTTGGTCATCTGAATTTTTTCAGGTGTCCCTTCACAGGCATCTACCTAAACATATGCAAAAGGGAGAATACTGTAGGGCTGTGACTTACCTAATCAGTTCTTTGCTTACTTGTACAGTTTTTCATTCATTCCTCATGGATAACAATTATTTATCATTTATTTAACATTGAATAATATCTTACTAGACTCTAAGTTTCCTGAAGGTGCATACTATATCCTTCATTACCTCTGAATGTTCAATGAATGCCTGGCACAGAGGCAGCTCACAGGAAGCAGTCAGGATACAGGGTGTACTGACTATAGGGCAGGCTTTTTATATTCCATATAACTTAATCATCATGATACCTCATGAGAAAAGTATCATCAGTTCTCTTGATAAAGAGTTTAGAGAGGTTGAGTAACTGGTCACTGGTTCCACAGTTAGTAATCTACCTAGGCAGGACTTGACCCCAGAACCTTGTTCCAAGGGATGCTATGTATTCCTTTTCATTTCCTTCTTTTTGCCTACATTTTGTCTTCCCACCCACCATTCTTCTGTTCCTTCTCACTTCTTTCTTCACTCCCTTTCTCTAGCATTTGTCAAGCACTTACAGAAGGCAAGACAACATGCTAAGCTCTAGAAGTAGAGACAGAGTTTCTTAACACATTGGTCTTGGAGATAATGCATGCAAATGATTAATTAGGGTATAATGTGATGAGTGTTATTTACAGCAGTATTGCTCACTGTCTTGGAAACAGAGAGGATGAGGAGGTTGGTTCTCTTGGCTGGGAGATGGGTTAGAGAAGACCTCGAAAAGCAGATTTTATTAAATTGTATTTTCCAAATGTCAGTAGGAGATTGACAGAGTGGATAAAGGAGTATCTGGCAGATAAATCAGCACAAAAAAAAGGCACAGGGGATTTGGGGAAGTGTTTGTGTCCTTATAAGGGTAGCAAGGAGGCTGCTGATAAGGTAAGAGTTGAAGGAAAAAGATAAGGGAAGACAGCCTGGCGATGAGGTTGAAAAGGTAAATGAGAATAGGGCTGAGTTATGAAGGGTCTTGCATGCAAAGCAAAGAGTTTGGGCTTTATTTCTTAACCATTAGGAGTCAGGCCAGGGAAAACCCTGATCACATTTACATTTCAAAATGTTCTGGATAGACTGACAGGACGAGACCCTGGAGAGAGAGAAAATTAGAGTATTTTTGGCCATCTAACTGTTTTATAATTGTCCAATGAGAGAAAGGTAATTGTCCTTCTGACTACAACAGAGTAGAGATGAGGATTGACTATGATAATACATTTGAAAGTACTTGGGAAAAGCTAATGTAATTAATAGACATAAGGAGTGGATTATCCTGAGTTTTGGGTGGAATCTTAGGGAAACTGTCAGAAGAATAAGAGGAGGGGCATTCTTTTAGGTCATAGTACCAAGAATTAAATGTATAAATGGGGAAAATTGACAAGAAAGTAATGAAGTCAGTATTTTGCAGAAATATAGTGACCACCATCCTTCAATGTAGTCCCATAATGAAAGCAGCCCCTCATTCACCTAACATATTCTAAATCACATTTAACAATTTCTGGAACCCAAACTCACTCCATAAAAGAAGGAAGTGACTCTTCGTTAGTAGTTTGAGCCCATATCTGGCTTACGCCACATAGCCAGCATTGAAAAAGAGCAGAGCTTGTGATTTTTCATGGCTAATATCCTTAGTCATGTATCTCTCCTGCCCTCTCATATGCTCCTAATCAAACCATTCCTGATCTCTAACTTGACAGCCATTGATGGCTTGGCTTTCACACCCAGTGCTGCTCCCCTGGCTCTGGACCTTGTCTTTCTTAATTAGCAACTTACTCCATCCTTTGAATTATGCTGCTTTCTGATGCTCTCTGAACACCCAACATGGTCCAGCCCAACCTCTGGACCTACATGCCAGTTCAGGCTCATACAGCCAACATGCTGTTTGACTTACCCTACTTCTGCAGATGGGACTGGGACAACTGCATCTTAAAAGATAGGCACATCTCAAACAGGTATCTAATGTGAGTACTGGCAATAGCCCTGGTGGTGTCTATTGTTTAAGCCTCCTGCCACCCAACTGCTTTGAAGCAGATGGGGTCAGTTGGATATGGATATACACACATTCACCATATTTAATATTAATGAAAGCAACAAGAATACATTTCATTTGTATGGTAGCTTATGGCTTATGAAACACTTTCTTGCACATTATTTTATCACCACAAACGAGGTAGAATTGGCATGGGAATGGGGATGGTAATTGGGTAGGAATCATTTATTTTCATTTATAGATGAGGTAACTGAGCTCAGAGACAAGTCACTCTTCTAAGCAGGGCCTTAGGGCACAACGTTTAAGGAAACTCTCACTCCAGGGTAGTGCAAGGGCAGGGATGGCACCTGAGAGTGGGTACTGCCTTATAGTTTGCACCCTGGGTTTCTTGTTGGACTTAATCTAGTCCCAGCCCTGCTTCTAAGGTCGGCTTCATGGCTAAAAAGTGGAAAATTAGGGGCTGGAGCTTAGTGTCATTGTTACATTTATTTCCTTGATACAATATCAAATGCCCATTGCCTTTTCTAACTCTGTCTCTCTGAAGAGCTCTCTCAGGCCATATAAAGTCACCCCCATGAACTGATCTGTTATATGTCTAAACTGCAGGAACCGTAGAACATAGGTACCTTGAAAACATGGTTTGAATATGGTTCCTTTTCTGTGTTTTTAGGTTTCAATTCACATGGTTGTTTTTCCTTCATTTTTTTATCTTCATGTTTAGCACTGAAATGTGAAGAGATACCAGGAAAAAAATGAAGCTTAGAGTGTTTAAATGATAGTGTACTGTCCAATCCTAAATGAAATGAATGGGAAAAATAGATTTGAACAAATATGAATCATTTATCTTAGATGAAGGGACTAGGATCAGATCAATTATATACATAGCTTCCTTGAGTTTCTGCCTGTTCCAATTAATGCCACAGTGTCAATTGCTGCTTAAAATCTTCTAACTCCCTATTGCCTATAGGATAAAACTTAAGTTTCATCGTGATCTGGCTCGTACCTTTCTTTCCAAACTCATCTCCTGCTGCTTTTTACCTCCACTTTGGCTTGAGTCTAGACTCTCATAATTCCTCAAACCCACCACCCTATTTGAGCAACTCTCCTTTTTTATTATTTTTCTTTAGACATGCCTTCCACATCTTATACTGCTGGTAAATACAATGCCCTTCATGATATAGCTAAATCATCTTACCTCTGAGAATGCTTCCCTGATTCTCCCAAGCAGTCATACCTTCTCTACTCTTCTAACACTTTGTTCTTCCATATTGTCTTACAATACATCTATCTATGGATCTATCTCCAGTCCCTCCACTTTGCCTTGTCAACCACTAAAAATCAAGGCAGAACTATCTTATTCACATGTGTAACTCCAGCATTAATGCTGTGTAATCCATGATAGGAAAAGCTGGTTTTTGCACCTCACTTCTGTGTTGTTAAACTTCCATAGCAGTGATAATATTTTATTGTGATTTCCTATTTATTTGGTCATTTTACCCTCCAAGTAACCCCTCACTCCCAACTACTCTGGCTTCCCCTCCCATCTTGGATCAAGGGTAGAAAATATATTCTATTCAGTTTTGTACCTCAGAATCTAGCAGCATCTGAAGAGTAAAAGCTCAATAAATGTTGAACTAAATAATGAATCATTTGACCTGTGCCTTACCATGTGACCAGCACTGTGTTAGTGCTACAAGGTATTTATGAAAGTCATAAATTTAGGGACAGGCAGGAACTCAGGGAGAGAGAGGAAGGTAGCCCATCCAGCTAAAGCAGGTTTTCTCCATGATTCAGCACACGTTTTTAGATTCAACCAGGAAATTTTGATATTTGCTTCTCCAGAGCTCATCAACCATGCTTTTTAAAAATATATTAGAATAACTCCAGGGAGAAGGGCTAGAAACAGACTCTGAAGAGGCAGGTAAGAGCACTACTATGTGCCAGGGCATTCCTCTGGACCCAAGAAGTGTGAGAGGTACCAGGAACACCAAAAACATTAAAACATTGGCCCTACATACAAGGAGCTCCCAGACAGGAAGGGGAGTAGGGAGGGGAGGATGAATTCTCATGTTAGCAAACTACATACAGTGGCATTTGTGCAAACATACTGTGCAAACAGACCTTACAGTGGTACCACAGGCAAGGGATTGGTCACTTCTCTCAGGGAGTGGAATGAAGGAAGGGTTCATACATGAGGGGTGCTTGATGGATTAGTAGAAGCTTGCCAGACTGTTAAATTGGGGTGAATCAATGACTTAAAAGAGCAAAGGCAAAGAGACTTCAAACAGCATGGTGCATTTCAGAAATTGTCAGTTCTTTGGAATTCATGTTATTATTATTTTCCTGTTTGAGTGTGTGACTCTCCCACTAATTCAGGAGATCCTGAAAGCAATAGCGAGGTCTCCATCACTGCCAAAGCCCCACTGGTGAGCACATATCTGGCACATGTTGGGTACTCAGTAAATGTTTGCTGAGTGCAGCATGGGCTAGAACAAGATAAGAGGGGGAGGCAAGGCAGGATCATGGATCACTTCCTCTGTACTAGGCACCTTGCAAGGTGCCGGGGAAACTGAACCAGGCTAGCTCAGTTTGGAAACATAGCTGGCCCATAGAGGAAAACTAGTTCAGTCATCAGAAAGTCAGTGCTTGGACAGGTGCTTTTCTTTTGAAAGATAAAACTCACCTAGGTTCTGGATAGGGAAAATTCTTCCCAGGCTGAAAGTAAAGTGGAAAATGGTTATTTTCATAAATCAACCTGAATCAGGCTCTGTTGTTTGGTTACAGATCATTAGAGACTACACCAAAAGGTGAGGGGGATGAAGCCTCAGTAGAGAGCAAAGGCAGACACTGACCACAGAAAGTTCCAGGAACTGTTGCAGTGGGGCTGAAGATCAATCAGAAATGAAAACAAGCATTTCTGAAGTTATAGGTCATGCCCAAAGGAATGTATGATGTGACTCAGAAAAATTGTTGTATGCACACCTTTCCCAAAATGCATCGGAAACGTAAATAACTTCTAAATCCTATGAGAAAATATGAATTTGTGGGATTTAAGCAATATTTTACTGGGCAAATTGGTATTCACAAGTGCACAAGTAATGCTGGAATTTCTCCGTTACTCGCTGATCATGTGCCCTGTGATCACCGCTCAAATCTTGCAGGATCTAGATTTGGCTCCATTAAAATTATGTCCCAATGATCACAATGTAGCCCCTCATTTATTCAGTGATTATAGATCTGGTGACATTCATTATTTGGAATCTGTCTAAGAACTCTGAGAAGAATAGAAAATATCTAAGCATCTAAAATGCCATCACAAAATCCAGGTATCATAGCTCATTATACTCTCCTTTGAGGGCAGCCCTGGAAACCATTATTCAGAGACTATTGGTTCTTATTTTACACATAATTCTAGCAAATTAGATGCAGCACTGGTAGAATGACAAGTCAGACAGACCTTGTTTTATATCTTTGTTACATGATTTACAGGTTACTAAACCTCTCTGAACCTTAATGTCATCTGTAATATGGGAGCAGTGATATCAGCTCACAGGGTAACTATAAGGGTTAAGCACTACTGTCTATGCACAAGTGCTATCACACCAGAGGGACTTGGTACATGTTTGACCACATGAAAAACTCATTGCTAGACACAAAGATCGTGACAGTAGAAAAAAAGGGAAAAGAATACAAAAAACTGACTTGTGGTAGTTTGGTGTGAAGGGAACTAGTTCTTCTGCAAAGGCTCAAGAGCATCTCAAAAGAAGAGCATAAACTATGTTGACTCAGTCCCTTATAGTCAAGAATATTCCAAGTCATTAAGAAAGGAAGAGATCAGATTCCACTCACTGAGCTTAAAAATACAGAGATAAACACAAAACATGTATGAGAGTTAAAAGATTTAAAAATTAAAAATAATTGTATGTTTTACTTAAAACAGAAAATTGGGATAAAATGGGATAAAATTCATTTACTTGGCAAGTTCATTTGTGCAGAACAGTTTATTATTTGTTGATGTTGCCAGGTACATGAAGCATTTTAATAGGCTATTTCTACTGCCATTAATAGAAATAATAATCATTCATATTTTTCTAGTGACAAAGTGTATCCACAAATGAATAATCCTTACCAGCAAGCATAAGAGAACCAAAACAGAGAGATGAAGGATCTAGACTAAATGTACCCAGTGAGAAAAGAGTAGAACCTTAACTGATCCCATTAAAACACTGGGTAAGGGCCTTCTATGAGCTTACACAGTGCTTACATACTGTGTTTGCCTTACTTCTCCCAGATATTCAGTGAAACAAGTATTGGTCCCTTTATTTATTGAGCATCTGCTACTGCAGATACAGTAACCACAAGACATATGCTTCCTGTCCTCATGGAAAATATGCCTTTTCTTTCCTTCTTTTCTTTCTTTTCTTTTCTTTTCCTTTCTTTCTTTCTTTTTCTTTCTTTCCTCTTTCCTTCCTTCCTTCTTTCTTTCTTTCTTTCTTTCTTTCTTTCTTTCTTTCTTTCTTTCATTCTTTCTTTCTTTCTTTCTTTTCATTCTTTCTTTTTCTTTTTTTTTTGATACAGGGTCTCAGTCTGTCTACTGCCCAGGCTAAAGTGTAGTGGTACAATATCGGCTCGCTGCAACCTCCACCTCCTGGGCTTAAACGGTCCTCCTGCCTCAGCCTCTCGAGTAGCTGGGACTACAGGCATATACCACCACTCCTGGCTAATTTTTGTATTTTTTTTTTTTTTTGTAGGGACAGTATTTCACCATGTTGCCCAGGCTGGTCTTGAACTCATGGGCTCAAGTGATCTGTCTGCCTTGGCCTCCCAAAGTGCTAGGCTTATAGGCATGAGCCACTATGCCTGGCCAAGAATACACCATTTTATAGAGGACACATCTAAGTCTCAGAGAGGTGAAATGCTCTGTTTCAAGCACTTACTAATAAGCTGTATACCTTCATTTATCTTATTTTCATTCTCACAAGGACCTCAGATGTGAGTTCTTTATTATCCCCATTTTGCAGGTGAGGAAATGGGCATTCAAGATCACATAGCCAGGAGTTGGGATTGAGGCCAGCAGTGATTCTGCTTGGGCCCTAATCAGGTTGCTATGCTGCCTCCAGGTGGCACCTGACACCATGTCTAGCAGGAGCCCAGAAAGCATGCCCTAAGGGGTCTGAAAGCCAGGATATACAAACCTGGATTGTGCCATAGAACTCTTCTCACTGGAAGTCATAGTTATTAAAAGCTAGTTGTCACTGCCCACCACAGAAAAGGGCTATGGATGAATTGGGACCATTTCCTCCCATCCTATCACACATTTTTGTCTCTGACAGTAACAGGGCTCAAAGTGCAGACTCTTAGAAGCTGGAGTCTGGAAAATCCTCAGAAATAGGAGGAAAAATGAAAACAAAGACATTTTTTCCCTCTAAAAGATACTACTTTAGAATCAACCTTGCATGCTTATTTTACTTTTAGTTACAATGTTGGTAAGGAGAAACAATACCTTTTGGAGTTCTTCAATTCCAACTTCATAAGTTGCTAAAGTAAACATAAAAAAATTATTTCAAGGCAGCTGATCCACCCATTTCTTATAGCACCCAGGATTAAAGCAGTTATAAAAGATTCCAGAATTCAGTTTTCTCACCTTTAAGAACATCAGACTATGTAAAGCTCTATCTAGAAAGTTTGGGAAATTATGGGGTCAGTGATCATGGTTTTAATTTCTGTGGGGATTTCCAGAATGGAATTTACAGTCGATGAAGCATGTGAAACCATTTCAGTTTCCTGTTTTGGCAAACAGATACACACTCCATGCTTAAAAGAAAGCACTAAAATTTAGTGGCAGCTCAGAAGGCAAACGTGAAAGGAAAGGAAAAGGAAAAAGCCTAAATCCCACTTCAACAAAATGAATTCTCTATCATGCCCCAAAGTGCTCTGTTCCACAGCCATTTTTATTTCCTTAAATACAGTTTGAAAACACGAGCACACCAACTAAGGCTGACCCACCTTTTGACTTTTCCAATAGTTCTGTGGATTTTATTTAATGACATGATGCCAATCTTAATTACAGTCATGCATCGCTTAACAATGGGGATCTGTTCTGAGAAATGCATCCTTAGGTGATTTCATCATCACGTGAATACCATAGAACATACTTATACAAACCTAGACGGTATAGCCTACTACCTTCCTAGGATATAGGGTATGGCCTATTGCTCCCAGGCAACAAAACTGCATAGCATGTTACTGTACTGAATACTGTAGGTAATTGTAACACAGTTATAGATAGTTGTGTATCTAAACATAGAAAAGGTACAGTAAAAATACAGTATTATCATCTTATGGGACCACGGCTGGATACACAATTCATTGTTAACTGAAACATTGTGTAGCACATGACTATATTAATAAATACAAGTAATGACAAGAATTTGAGTTCAAACACTGTTCTGCCACTCCTACATAGGGTGTTTCAGACAAATTACTTCATTTCTTTGAGCCTCAGCTTGCTCATCTATAAAAATTGACCAATTGGTACCTGCCTTACAGAGTTAATGGGGAGATTCAAGGAAATAATTTAAGAAATTTGGCCAGGTGTGGTGGCTCATGCCTGTAATCCCAGCACTTAGGGAGGCCAAGGCAGGTGGATCACAAGGTCAGGAGTTCAAGACCAGCCTGGCCAAGAGAGTGAAACACTATCTCCACTAAAAATACAAAAATTAGTCAGGCACAGTGGCAGGCCTATAATCCCAGCTACTCTGGAGGCTGAGGCAGGAGAATTGCTTTAACCAGGGAGGCAGAGGATGCAGTGAGCCGAGATCGCGCTACTGTATTCCAGCCTGGGCAACACAGTGAGACTCCATCACAAAAAAAAAAAAAAAAGGAAATTTAACATACCTAGCAGAACACTGGACATTGTATAGAAAATGGCAATGTTTTTTGATAAAATTGCTTGGTTGGTTTTCTTTGCTTAAAAGTTATTTATAAAAGTTTTATCCCTACTGTTAATGAACATATGTGCATAAAAGGACTCCTCCCTCTGTTTTTCTCTTTCTTGCTGCTAAAGTCCTGAAGCTTTAGAAAACTGACTGAACAATATGTTGCATTTCCAAGCTTTTATTATTCTAAACATATAATACACTGACAAAATCAATGAAATGCTAGGTTTTGTTTAGGGACTGTCAGCATATAATTGTTGACACAGACCTAAAATTCTACATGGATAATTAATAATATGTATTTCAACTTGGGTAATTGTACACATAATACTTTAAATTAGGTAATTGTACACTTATTAATACTTTAAAAATACCTGTTTGTGATACAGTTTGCCCAATATCCATTCCTGATATGAATTTGCTTTCCAATTTTAAAAATAATAATCTCCTCCTTTCTACTCCAATTTATTTACTTGTCTATGCTTTTCAAAAACAAATCATGAGCTCATTTGCTTCTCCTAACCACCTTGAGATGGATATTATTACTTATTCTGTCTTAGAAATGATGAAACCAAAGCCAGGAGAAGCCTTACTTGCCATGGCTAGTAAACAAAGATAATACACATTCAATTAATAACGTATTCATAATGTTGTTACTGCTTTTTAACAAAGTGGAGGTTCTTTCGTGGCAAGCTAAGCTATCCAAACTTAGGTAGGAATTCCAACATATATTCCAAGGTAGGAATATAGAGGATAAAGGGCTACATCCCAAAGGATCAGAAATGGACTAGGAATTATGACAAGAGCATGTGATCTGCAGCATCAGAGTCCTCGCTTACTTTCTGCACAGAGTTATATAACCCTCTCTCCACTGATTAGTTTTATTGTGCAGGCAGAGAAAGGACAAATATCTGAAGATGGTCCTCAGCAATCCTCCAACTGCTAGTGTCACAACACGGTCATGTCTTGGAGGCCTTTTGTTCCTTCTCCTCATCCTGTCTGTATGATCTTGGAAAAGTCCCATTACCTCTTTTACACCTGGAGGTGAAATGTTTATTACTAACATAATAAAAATAATAATTTAAAAGAAACTAACATTTTTTATACTTATAGATAGCAGGCACTATGCCAAGCATTTAAATGCATTATTTCATTTAATTCTCAATGACAATCACTACTAATATTCCAATTTTACTGACGAGGAAACAGCCAGCCAGACAAGTGAAGTAAATTGTCTAAGATCACTCAGGTAAGAAACGGCTTGCAAATTTTCTTCCATCCATGGCTTTATTAATTTAAATGGAATGTTATGCAGAAGTGTAAACACAAGTCTGAAGGTATCTGCGAGAGTCTCCAAGACTCTTCAAAAAATTCTCTGGGGCCTAGAAGTACAGTCTGCAAAGCACTAGTCTATATGACCTCTGAGGACAATTCTGCAGAGCTTTTAGAACAGCCTGAATCATGTATGCCCAATGCCAAGTTCTGTATAAAAGAGATGAAACCTCACCAAAGGCACCAGTGCTGAGCTAAGCACTAAACAAGGATGGTCTTCCCTGTTTTCTTGGCCTTGTTCAAGGGACAGTCACCCAAAGGCAACAGCAAAAGCCAACCACCTTGACCTCTTTCTCCTTCCTTCCCTCTCTCCTTCCCTTCCGTCTCTCTCTCCCTGCCTCTTTGAAAGGTATCATTTAGATGTCTCACCTTTGGTGTACAAAAAACAAAGAGGAAACATTCATTTTAAGTTAACTTTTGTATAAGGTGTGAGACTTAAGCCAAAGTTTATTTTCGTTTACCTATGGCAATTGGTCCAACACCATTTTTTAAAAGGCTGTGTTTCTTCTATTGAGCTGCCTTTACATCTTTGTTAAAAAAAATAACAACAACAGTTGGGCATATCTGTATAATTCTATTTCTGAATTCTCAATTCTGTTCCATTGTTCTACGTGTCTCTCTTTGCCAATACCAGATAGTCTTGATTATTATACTGATAATTCTTAAAACTGATATACTAATGCCTCCCTTTTATTTTTCAAAATTGTTTTTAGGTATTCTAACTCCTTTGCCTTTCTATATGCATTTTAGGATAATCTTGTCTGTATCTGCAGAAGATCCTACTGGGATTTTTATAGGAATTTTATTAAACCTGTGTATCATTTTGAGATAATTGACATTTTTACTGTTAATTTTACTGTGTTGTGTCTTCCGATCCATAAACATGGTATGTCTCTCCACTTATTTAGATTTTCTTTGATTTAATCAGAATTTTATAGCTTTAAGCTTTTAGGCCTTATCATGCTTTGTAGGATTTAAATATAAACACATATCTATTTTTAAGCAATTATAAATGATATATTTTTCAATTTCAGTATTTGTATGTTCATTCCTGATATACAGAAATATAATTGATTTTTTTGTACATTTATTTTGTATCCTACAATCTTTCTGAAATCATTTATTAGTTCTAGGAGGGTTTTTGTGTGCTTTTTTGGTAAATTTCTTGGGAATTTCTATCTAGATAATCATGCCACTGTGAATAGATAGTTTTATTTATTCCTTTTCTATCTGTATACATTTTATTTCCTTTGCTTGCCTTATTGCACTAGCTAGAACGTCCAGCACTATGTTGAATAGCAATGGTAACTGCAGACATCCTTGCCTTGTTACCGGTAGTAGGGGAAAAGCATTCAGTGTTTCACCATTAAGTATCATGATTAGCTGTAGGCTTGCTGTACATGTTCTTAATCAAGTTGAGGAAGACAATAGAGTCCCCATCTATTCCTATTTTATGACAGTTTTTTAAATCATAAATGGAGGTTGTATTTTGTTAAATTATTTTCTGCACAGATTGTCTAATTTTTCTTCTTTATCCTGCCAATATGGTGATTTTGTTGATTTTTGAATATTGAACCAGCTTTGCATCTCTGCACCCTTATATACCACAACCAAATGAAGAATAAATCACACTTGATCATAAAGAATAATTCATTTTCTATGTTGCTGAATTCTATTTGCTAATATTTTGTTGAGGAGTTTTATGACTATGCTAATTAAGGATATTGATCTGAAGTTTTCTTCTTTTGTACTGCCTTTGTCTAGTTTTGATATCATGGTCATGGTAATACTAGCTTTAAAAAAATGTGTTTTCTCCTCCATTTTTGGGAAAGATTGTATAAAATTGGTATTAATTCATCTTTAAATGCCTGATAGAATTTTTCAGGGAAATCACCTGACTTAGAGTTCATTTTGGGGGAGTTTTTAAACTATGCATTCAGTTTTTCTTGAGAGTTACAGGGCTAATCAAATTATTTATTTTGAGTGAGTTGTGGTAATTTGTGCTTTTTGAGGAATTGTTCCTTTTTTTATCTAAGTTGTTAAGTTTAAATGTGGAGAGTTGTTCATAATATTCCCTTATTATTGTTTTGATATCTACAGAGTCTATAATGATATCCCTGCTTCAGTCTTAATATTATATCTTTTTTCTGTTTCTTTTTCAGCCTTGCTAGAAGTTTATCTATTTTTTCAGCCTTGCTAGACGTTTATCAATTTTTTCAACCTTGCTAGAAGTTTGTCAATTTTATTGATTTTTTTTCAAAGAACACATCTTTAATTCCACTGATTTTCTCTATTGTTTTTTGTTTTCATTTCATTTCATTTATTTCTAATCTTATCCTTATTGTTTCCTTCCTGCTACTTGCTTTCAAGAATTTTTCTCTGTCTTTAAGAAGTTTGATTATGACTCTTCGCGAGATTGCATTTCTTTTAGATTTGCTTGGTTTCTTGAATCTGTTGTCATATTATGTCTATTTTTTTTTTTTTTTAGATGGAGTTTTGCTCTTATTGCCCAGGCTGGAGTGCGATGGTGTGATCTCAGCTCACTGCCACCTCTGCCTCCTGGGTTCAAGAGGTTCTCCTGCCTCAGCCTCCCAAGTAGCTAGAATTACAGGTGTCCACTGCCACACCCAGCTAATTTTTTTTGTATTTTTAGTAGAGACGAGGTTTCACCATGTTGGCCAGGTTGGCCTTGAACTCCTGACCTTAGGTGATCCACTCGCCTCGGCCTTCCAGAGTGCTGGGATTACAGGTGTGAGGCACCGCTCCTGACCCATATTATGTCTTTTGCCAAACTGGGGGAGTTTTCAGTCACTATTTCTCCAAGTACTTCTTCAGTCATGCACGCCTTCTCTTCTCTTTCCAGAAGTCTAATGACATGAATGTTAAATCTTTTGTTATAGTCTCACAATTTTTTGAAGCTCTTTTCATTTTTTTTTTCAGTTTATTTTCTCCTTGTTCAGATTTGGTAGTTACTATTGTTTATTTTTAAGTCATTGACTCTTTTGTCCCTCCATTCTGCTGTTGAGCACATCCACTGACCTTTTTATTTTTTAGTTCTAACATTGTCATTTTTTTTTTTTACATTTCTCTTTCTCTATAGAGACATTTTATTTCTTTGATAAGACTTTTCTTCATTTATTTCAAGCATGTCCATAACTATGCATTGGAAAATTTTATAAAAGCTGCTTTAAAGTCTTAGTCAGAAAATTCTAGTATTTCAGCCATCTCAATTTTGGCAGATATATTTTTTTTTTCAGCTTCAGCTGCCGTAACAAAATACCATAAATTGCATGGCTAATAAATAACAGAAATTTATTCCTCACAGTTCTGGAGGCTGGAAGTTCCAAGATCAAAGTGACAACAGATTCCTGGTTCATAGACAGCTGTCTTCTCACTGTGCCCTCATATGGAGAAGAAGAAAGCAATCTTTATTGGGATGCTTGTAAAGACACTAATCCCATTTGAGAGGGCTCCACCCTCATGACCTCATGTAATACTAACTACCTCCTAAAGATCTCACCTCCTAAATACCATCGCATTGGGGGTAGGTTTTCAGCATTTTAGAGGTAACAAGCAATCAGTTCATAACAATACCCAAGTGAGAAAACAGCACCTCATCACTGCTGGGCAGAAGTAGGAAGGAGTTTGGCTCTCCAGTAGGCTTCTGCTGATAACATCTTAGCTGGAAAGAGTAGGAGTGCCCTGTTATTACTTCCCATATGGCCTTTGCTGACACTACAAGGAGAGGGTGGCCTTCTTACTGCTGGGTGGTTATGAAGATCCTTTCTACTAGGTCTCCTCTGACACCATCCTTTGAGGTAGGGAGAAGGGCATCTTGTTACTGCTGGAAGGGGAGTGAAAGTCAAAGTTCCTCACATAATCTTTATGGACACTAAGTGGAATTTTATTACCACCTGGCAGGGGTGGAAATCCCAGCTCCCTACTTGACCTTCTCTGACATCACTCCAGTGGAGGAGTTGGGTGCATCATTGCAGCCTGCTGAGGGTAGATGTCCAAGCTCCCCATTCAGCATTGCTGTTGGTGGTGGGCCACATTTTTTTCTATGATGTTTGGCTGGAGTAGACTAGTTATTGTCTAGAGGTTTTCTGTCTTTCTAGGTTGCCCTTTTCCTGGTCGTTTGGCTAGAAAGAGCAGGCTTCAGCTGAAGCTGTTGTTGTGCCCACTGGTGTTTCTGAGTTGCTAACTTTTTTACCTCCAAAACTGACATATTCGAGGCAAGAAGAAAACCAGGGAACTCACCACCTTATCCTTCCTTGGGGCCTGATGTCCCTAGCTGGTCTACCTTCTTCTCTCTACCTTTCAGAGTCATCTAGTCTTCTTATGTTTGTTTTACATACATAATGCCTGGGGCTTTTAGCTGTACTTAGCAGGAGCAATAGGACAAAAGTACATCTGTTCCATCTTCCCAGAAACAGAGGTCCACTTCACTTGAAATGAGCTACTTGCAGGGGGGTGGATTCTAGGGGCATCACGTGGTCCAGAGAGAGAAGGAGCAGGCTCTGATTGGAGCATCCATTTGGCTCTGTGAATTCTTAGCCTTGTAGAAGGACATATAGTTGGAACGTGGCCCAAATGGTGCCCACTGCCTTTCTTTCAAAGTGTGGTCTGTAGACCAGCAGCATTGATATCACCAAGGAACTTGTTAGAAATGCACAATCTCAGACTCCATACCGGAGCTGCTGAACCAGAATCTACATTTTAACAAGATCCCTGCATGACTTGTATGAACGCTAGAAATTGAGAAGCCCTGCTCTAAAGAAGGGGTCCATATACTCTGAGTATGGGGCAGCACTGCATTTTGGGGGTGCTGGGCAGGGTCAAGAGTTGCTCTTCCTATGGCTAGTATTTTACAAACCATTTAGGAGAATCTAGACTGCCCAGTCTAAAAGAGAGGCAGTTTTTCTAATAGTTCTCCAACCCCTTATTTCTTTTTTTTTCTTTTTTTTTTGAGACGGAGTCTCGCTCTGTCGCCTAGGCTGGAGTGCAGTGGCGCGATCTCGGCTCATTGCAAGCTCCGCCTCCCAGGTTCAAGCCATTCTCCTGCCTCAGCCTCCCGAGTAGCTGGGACCACAGTCTCCCACCACCACCACACCTGGCTAAATTTTTTGTATTTTTAGTAGAGACGGGGTTTCACCGTGTTAGCCAGGATGGTCTCGATCTCCTGATATCGTGATCCGCCCATCTCGGCCTCCCAAAATGCTGGGATTACAGGCGTGAGCCACTGCGCCCGGTCCCAACTCCTTATTTCTTGAGGGAGAAGAGGGAAATTTCAGTAGGTCCTGATCCTTACCTCATGAACTTCCTAAGTATGTATTCCCAGGAAAATGACTTCCTTTCCCAGAACCTTGAGGTTCTTGTCTATACAATGAAGAAGTTTTTAGCCCTGCTTTCAGGGAAGCCAAACTTCCTTGAATAAGAAGTAGCATAAACTTGTGGAAAAAGCATAGAATTTAGAGGTAGCCTGAGCCTGTTTCACATTATAACTCTATTCCATGTTATATTTATGGCCTCGTGCAACTCAATCTTTCTGATGTTCAGTTTCCTGTATCAAACATTAGGGGTGATCAAACCACTCTATCAGCAGGGCTGTACATGGGGAACCTAACACAGAACTACAGTATCCTATAGTACAAGCTCACTAAATACTAGTGTTTATTCCAGCACTAAAATGTGTGCCTTTTATAGAGAACTGGCTGATACTATAGGCAGAACAAGGACATTGTACCTTGTAGAAATGCAATAATCTCTGCTCCCTCATCTTTTTACATGAGAAGGTCTCTTTACTCACAAAAATGTCCCGAGCATTGTCAGCAATGCCAGAGGCAGGAAGACTTAGCTCTGAGCCAGTGGTCAGATCCATTAAATAAATCCCCTGCTCCTATTCAGACTGAACACAGGGGCCTAATTCTCATGGTCTGTTATCTCACTCTCCACACACCAAGTAACCAGGGAACTTCAAGAAAGACACCAGGAGAAAAGAGATGAAGTTTCTATAGGAAGAGAAGGAAGAAAAATGAATCATCATATCTTGATTTTCCCTCCCTCATATCTACAAAAGGCAAAGCAGCTGAGTCGATTGGTAAAGGGGAGAAAAGAAGAGGCTGGGAAGGCAGCAATAGCTATTGTGAGATAGCACTGATGCCCAGCTGGATTTATTTATATTTTTAAGAGACCAGACACAGAAAAAAAAAAGAAAAAGAAATAAGATGGTTGTGCAGGATGGCTGTGCATTTTTAAACTTACAGTTAGCTAAAGGGAAAATATCATTTTTGACACATTTTCATTCCACACAGGGTTACACTATTAATTGGCTTAGCAGACTTACGATCAGCAATTTCTTTTGCAGTGCACAGGTTAATGGAGTTGCCAGAGTGTCTCAGATATGAAATTGTTGCCTCGTAATTATGTGGTTCTTCAAATTCTGCATTGAAAAGCCTGGAGAAAAAAGGGTTACTTAAAATGTAACATTTTTAAAAACATATTTTGAAAGCTTTTTGTATTTTTTCCTCATTAGAGAAATAATATGTGTGTCTGGCCAATATGGTGACCTAAGCATATATGGGAGGCACACTACCCCTACTCCAAATGCATAAGAATTCTAGATGAAAGATGGCAATGCAAAGACTTGTGTAAAGATTATACAGTCCACACAGAAATCAATAAAGCAAAATCCCCAGGTGCCAGACATACAGAGGAAATTCACAATTAAAGATGCAAGTGAGAACTGCAGTCAAGGAACACAAAGGGAAATTGAGACCAGATAAAGAGAAATCTTAATGACTGGGCAGCTGGGGATTTAATGTCTGAGTCAGAAGGTAAGTCTGAACCATAAGCCTCATCTGAATAGGAAACTGAAATGGAGCTATCAGCATCAAGTCCAGAGTTACAATATGCTGTTCCATCTGTAAAACGAGTACTAAACGTATCCGTCCACTCTCCCAGGGAATGAGCTTGGAAGTTTGCTATCTGACTATGGCCATAGGAACTGAAAGAGTCACCAATGAGAAATCAGAAACTTGAAAACCCAGCACCAAATACAGAGGTGGGGTTTAATAAACAATCTGCTCATTTCAGAGACACAAAGCCAAAATTGATGATTGAAATTCAAATCCCTCTTCTAAAGGCAAATCTGAAATTATTCTGTAAAGATGCTTCCACAATCCACGGCACCTGTAGTTTCCAAAGAAAACAAATTCCCACTCAAAATAAGCTGATAGTGAAAACTGAAAATCACACAAGGAGATGAGCTGCAGTAAGATAGTCAGAAGGCATAACTAATGGGGGACCTAAATAATAGAATAACATGAACGTTAATTTAAAATACATGTGTTTTTAGTATTCCAAGAAATAAAGTGAAGAATAAAAGCCATTAGGTAAAAACAAGAGACTGAGGGAAAAGAATGCCCTATAGATTTGGAGAAAGGAGTTATAGAGATCATAAAATATAGTTCTTAAGATAAAAAATTTAATGTAGAGGCTGAAAAGTAGACTAGATGCAGCAGTAGAAGGAATTGGTGAATTATTATCATTAGTATTATTATTATATATTTTTTGAGACAGGTTCTCATCCTGTCACCCAGGCTGGAGTACAGTGGCGCAATCTCAGCTCACTGCAGCCTCAACCTCCCAGGCTCAAGCAATCCACACACCTCAGCCTCCTGAATAGCTGGGACTACAGTTGTGTGCCACCACACCCAGATAATTTTTCTGTGTGTTTGTAGAAAGGAAGCCTCGCCATATTGCCCAGGCTGGTCTCGAACTCCTAGGCTCAAGTGATCCACCTGCCTTGGCCTCCCAAAAGTACTAAGATTACAGTCATGAGCCACTGGCCTAGAATTGGTGAATTATTTAGATATGAGGACGTTACCCAGAATGTAGCATAGAGAGATAAAGAGATAGAAAATATTTAAAAAGAAGAGATAGGGAGGATAGAATGAGAAAGTCCAACATACATATATTAAGGATTATAAAAAGAAAGAAGAAAGAGAATGATGTAAAGGAGTCAATATTCAAATTATAATAGCTATACTATTATTTTCCATAATAATAATATGGAAAGTAGTGGAAGAGGGCTATGAAAATTATTCTCAAGTCTTTGCATTATTTACGAGCAGGATGGAGATTTTGATTAACATTAGACTTTGTAAATTATAGATGTCAAAATTTAATTGTAACTACTAAAAAAATAGAAATAGAATATTTAACTTCTAAACTGGCAGAAGGGAAAAATGCAATGAGAAAGCTTAAATATTTTTTAAAAAGGAGGAAAGAAAAAAATGCAATTATAGAAATTGCATAGTAAATCTTAATTGGGAAAATTCCAAATAGGTCAAGGATTGTAATAAATGTACATAGATTAAGCTATTCCAATAAAATAAAGAGTATCTGAATTGATATATTTTTTAAAAGCAGCAGACAAGCCAAAGATCCAAGGTAAATGGATGGAAAAGACATACAAATCAAATAGTACCAAAGAAAACTGAAGCAGGTATATTAATATTAGACCAACTTCAGTGTGACTGATGAAGAAAATGAGAAAGGGTACACACGAATGCGTATACACCGACACAAATTAGAGATAAGAAAGGAAACAAAACTAGAGATAGTTTTAGGCTTTCAGAAATCTAAGAAAGTGTTATGATCAGCTCTCTACCAGTAACTTTAAAAATTTAGAGAAAATTGGCAACTTTATGGGGAAGTAGAAAATTACCATACCGACTGAGAAAGAAACACAAAAACTAATAGGCCAATAAATCATTAAAGAACTTTTATCAGTAGTACACACCTCCACTCTTCCCTGTACCTACCTCCACCCTAACTCGCCTCTCTTCTTGCTCTCTACCAAATAGTTTTATAGACAAGTTTTAATGAGCTGTTTTAGAGGATAGAAAAAGAGGAAAAGCTACGCTACTCGTTTTAAGAAGATAATACAATTTTGAAATGAAGACTACAAAATGATCAAAGAATAAGAGAAAATTTACTCCAATCTCACTTCAGAGATTTTAGCCCAAATTCACTAAATGCTGAAAAATGAATTAATCAGTTTTAAAAATAACTCAAGAATAACTGAAATTTATTCCGAGACCTCAAGGATGGCTTAACATCAGAAAATCTATTATTGTAATTAATCACATTGTTTCAATAAAAGTGAAAAAGGTTATTTTAATATGCAAAAAAGCATTCCAGGGAGATAAACGCTCTTCACTAGATTACCCTCCAACAAATAACATACTTAATAGTAAAGTGTAACAAATAATATTTAGACTCTATCAGGAACTTTGGCAATAAGAAAAAGACAAACCCATAGAAAATTGGACGAAAGTATATTCCAGTCATCACTGAAGAGTCAAATTGAATAGCTTATAAAGGTAAACTCCTAACCTCATAGTGAACAGGGAAATGGAAATCAAGATAACGAAAATTTAGTTCACATTCATCAGATTAGCTAGAATCTCAGTTTGAAAATAATACCTTATTTGGCAAGAATATGGAGAAATAGGAAATCTTTACACTGCTTTGAGAGTATGAATTGTCACAACCATTTTGGAGAATAATTTTTCAATATCTAGTAACACTGAAGTTGATTAGTTAGTATTGTTTAGCAATTCTACTTCTAAGTAAATAGCTTTGAGAAACTTGCTTATATTTACCTACAAATATAGGAGAATGATTACTGAAGCATTATTTGAAATGGTAAAAATTTACAACAATCTGCATGTTCCTTAGCGAGAAAATGCATAAACAAATTGGGATGTGTTCATATGAGGAAATACAATACAGCAATTATGATGAACAAATGACATATACATCAACATAGATAGAATATGAAAACACAGCTTCGTAAAAAAAAGTTGCAGAAGGATAACATAAGGTGTCATTTATACAAAAATTTAAAAACTATATCCTTAACAGATACATGAGTTTATAGCTCAAACGTAAGAACATACTAAATGGATACACTCACAAATTCATGATTGGAGTTGCCTCTGCAAAGGGAGAAAGGGAAATGGAATTATGGAGTAAATTCATAATCTTTTCCCCTCTGTACTGTCCGCATTTGGTATGAGGTAGTTCCATTTGCTATAGATGCAGTTGAAGGGGACTAGAGTTAGGGTTAGGGTTAGGGTTAAAGGTGAGGTTAGAGTTGAAGCGACTTCAGCTGCATCACAACTACATCACAGCACATGTGGATAGTATCAAAGAGAAAAAATTACACATAACCTCTGAACGTTAATACAAACGAGGTCTTAGCATTTGGTAGTCTTCCTGATTTTTCATTTATATGTGTATTCACATAGTTGTTAGACAGTGAAAAAGTTGGAGTTCTCTTTTTTCCCCTCATTTATTATAATCATAAGCACATTCCACCCAATTGTTTTCTCTCCGTTGACTATTTTGCATATTTTCTAGTTTTTTTTGCATAGTTGCATATTTTCTAGAAAATATTTTGCATATTTTCTAGTTTTCTTTTGTGTATATTCTCTGTAATAATTCTAAAGATGTAATAGTTCATTTTGCTGAAAAAGAAAAATTATAAACTCCAATGCATCAGTAACTTCTCTCATATTTTTGTTCCCCTCCCCCTTCATAAAGTAATCAAGAGAAACTTTCTTAAATTATAGGCTATGCCATAGAGCTCATGCTTCAATGGCCTAACAATCTCATTTGGTCTATGGTAAATTAATTTTATTAATAAGAAACAATTTGGGGAAAAATTGAAAGATGTCTAATCAATTTCTTAGACCACTTTGGTCAAAAATGAATAAATATCTCATTTCAGATAATTATAAAGAAAATTTTACCAAAGTTTCCAAAAAGGCATCTTTAGGATCAATTGTCTTTGCAGAGAATCAGTGCTGGGATTATTGTTAAGAGGAAAAAAGAAGGTTGCAGATGTATTTTAACCTCCTTTTTTGTTACCTGAGAATGTCTTTTACCTTTATCCCTGGTCCATTAAAACTAGATCTGAGATCCACCTTGATTTCATACAATGTGGATCAATATACAGAACTTGGATTGGAGGGACGAAATAACTCTATGATTTAAATCTATGCTTCAACTTCTTTATTTCCACATTTATGAAAAATGTGTCTACAGGACTATAGACACTACTGGGAGGCAGCACAGAATATGAGACAGACCTGGAACATGGGGTCAGACAGATTTGAATTTGAATCCTAGCTCTCTTCTACATTCTAGTTATAAAGAACTGGGTAAATACCTTAAGCCTCCATTTCCTGCTCTATAAAACAGTTATAATAAAATCTACTTTAAAGGCGTATTATGGATATTGAATGAAATATTTGCCCTCTGCACATAGGCATTCCACAAAAGTGTGCTGGTAATATTAGTGTATTAGAGGACAGAAATATTGTATTTTAAAATAAGTTTTGAGGTTTACATCTTGTAAAATTTTTTATTAGTGGCATAGCATCAGGTTTCTAACTTTTCTTACTTCCTTACAGAAAACCTCCAGTTATTTATACACTACATTATAAAACGTTAATGTTTCTTAGTGATATTTTCGACATTATCTATGTTCAAGAAGCAAACACAGCTCCTTAAATGCAATATAAGTGTTAAAGATGATTTACAAAACCAGAAAATTTCTAATTTTGTTTGGACTCCTGGAAATCCTATCTTCAAAAATAAATGTTTAAACAAATGGGATCTCTCTAGCTAAAGCATGGACAAGTGACCTCTCATGGTTGTTTCCATTTGCCATGTCTACCTCTGGTCCACAGCCCTGAAAGGTCCCCGCAGAATCCCTCATTGTCCTTTGGAGAATAATTAGTTAACCTCTGTATTAGGCTGTACGCTCTAGAGAAGTTGCTCATGCACCTCATTCAAACATCTGTCCACTTGGTCAAACAGTGAGATTATTAATCACATTAATAGCTACCATTTCTTGAGGGCTTACCATGTGTTAGACACCGTGCATAGATTCATTATATGCACCTCTCATTGGCTGTGTGGTCTTGAGCAGTCATTTAGGTTCTCAGAGCCTTCATTTCCTCATAGAGTCACTGTGAGGGTTTAGTGTGGGAATAACTGAATCACAATGTGGAAAATGCCTGACAGGCGAGTTTCCTTTCACAGGAGAAGACTCCTGTGCCACACTGCATGATGATGACTCAAAAAGTTTCATTGGAAGAAAGTTCTAGAAGATCTAAAGAAGAGCTTTCATTAAGTAGAAAGATTGAGACTTGAACAACAAAACCTGTTAGCCATACTTGTATATTTATTTTGTTAGGTTGAAAACACAGTTTCTTCCACTTAATATTTCAATGGGCCATGCATTTTGGAGACAGGATGAACAGGAGTAGCTTAGTCAGCATTTGCTCTGTGTAACATTCTACAGGTTCCTGGTGACAAGGGAATGTGACACCATCTGATTTCTCAATTGTCCAAAGTCCCAAACTGGACAAATTTCTATTTCCAGTAAACAAATTAAGAATACCCTACTCATAGCCCTTCACCCTAAGAAATCCTTCCCTTGAATGAAATGATTGGTGATTAAACTTTTAAAAGTGACATCCATACTAAATAAAATGGATCTCAAAATTCATTTGTGCCAGGTTCAAAAAAATATATGATGAATTTGGAGTGATTTTTTTTCATAAGCTACTAAAACTTGTTTCGTATACATATTAGATAATGGTTAGAGATGAACAATCAATGAATCAGTAGAGCAGAATGATTCAGAGAAACATAGGCTTCAGAAAGACAGAGGTGGCAGTGAATCTCACCTCTACCAGTCTGTGACCTTGGGTGGGTGGTTCGACCTAAGTCTCTTCACCCTTTAATCCTCTTTATATGAGAATGAAATGATATAATTTATGCCATGCTTAGCGTAGTGCTTGGCATAAAGCGTTTGCTACTTCTGCTTCCACTAGTACTACTTCCACTTTCACTTTTGTACTATTTTCCCTTTTACAATTCTACTACTTGTCCTTTCGAATTCTACCACCACCTTCACCACTAGTTCTCCTGCTTCTACCATTTTACAGAACACACACATATGTGTGCATACATATACATCTTTTTATGTAATATATATTTTCATTTGTGTATATATGTTTTTACATAAATATACGTACATGTATACACGCATACACACAATCCTACCACCACATGTACCATAACCTTACTGTGATGGTTAATATTGAGTGTCGACTTGATTGGATTGAAGGATGCAAAGTATTGTGCCAGGGTGTGTCTGTGAGGGTATTACCAAAGGGGATTAACATTTGAGTCAATGGACTGGGAGAGGAAGACCCACCCTTAATCTGTGTGGGCACAATCTAATCAGCTGCTAGTGCAACTAGAATAAAATAATAGACTGCCTGAGTCTTCTGGCCTCTATCTTTCTCCCATGCTGGATGCTTCCTGCCCTCAAACATTGGACTCCAAGTTCTTCAGCTTTTGGACTCTTGGACTTAAACCAGTGGTTTGCCAGGGCTCTCAGGCCTTCAGCCACAGACTGAAGGCTGCACTGTCAGCCTTCAAAAAGTAGGGATACTTTTGAGATTTTGGAATTTGGACTGGCTTCCTTGCTCCTCAGCTTGCAGATGGCCTATTGTGGGACTTCACCTTGTGATCATGTGAGTCAATACTCCTTAATAATCTCTCGTTTATATATACATCTACCCTATTAGTCCTGTCCTTCTAGAGAACCCTGACTAATCCACTTACCAATTCTACTATGACTTCTACTACAACAACATACAACAAATAGAGCTTCTCTCAGCCCTGGGCACTAGGTATTTCTTTTTTCTATTCATGTATATGTAACCCAGTTATTTCTACAAAGGACCACAAAACCATGATCACCAAGTAAATGTTATTAAAGTGCCACATAACCTTACAAAATATGCCGTCCACTCTGGCTTTAACTTAACTCTGAAGCTACATTGTCAAACCATTGATCTCATTCATAAGGCAGGCATGGGAAGGCATGTAAATCATAATAACAGCTGATAATTGTTACCTGCCAAGCACTGTTTCAATTACATGTATCAATCTTTGGCTCTATGAAATAGATACTATTATTCTTTCCACAATCAGATGAAGAAACTGAAGCATGATGCAAGCTCACAGAGTAGTTAGCAGCAGAGATAAGAAGCCAGATATTTGAATCCAGATATTTGAATCTGAAGTCTTAACCATTATGCTATATACCATCTTACACAGGGGATGTACTGGTTGAAGTCAAACATGGCATGAATAGATCACACCGTAATGGAAGTCATCAAAGAAAGAGGTCATCAGAGTATACAGCAAGGAGGATTCCAAAGGACTGACCAGACTATTAGCTAGAGACATAATGAGAGAAAAGTATGTCTGCTAGTGGTATAAAAGAGAAGCTCTCAGATTTCTCATTCATTAAGTTACATGCTATTATTCACTCTTCAAACAAACTATATTCATGTTAATTTTATATGCATTATCTCACATAATCCTCTCAGTAGCAGTATGAGGCATTCTACAGTTGAGGAAACTGAGGCTTGGAGATATTCAGTAACTTGCCCAAGATAGCACTGCTAAGTAGCAGAGGTGGGTCTGGAAACCACACCTTCTGATTCCTAGTCCATTGGTTCTCTCCTCTGCACTACAAGTCACTCTAGAACTGAGGGAAAACTGAAAAATGAAAATAATGAAGCACCAGACGATGGTGAAGGTCAAGGAGCCTGTGAGTGGGCTTTGGACAATATTTTTCCAACCTTTGTTAGGCTGACCCAAGAGTTCACAGATCAATTCTTTTATATATTAGTTATTTATATGGGGAAAATGTTATGGGGAAGTTCTTTTTCTTGTCTTTGCCTGACATTATCACCTATAAAATGAAAAATATTACCATTTAACCTATAATTTGAGGTTAAGGTGGAACCAGTGGATCAGGGTGAATTTGGGAATGACTTTCTAAAAGCACTTTGTCTTCTAAGTGTTTTAGGAAGTCACACAACAACTAAAGCAGACTCTTTTTTTTCCCATTCATCTAGGAACAAGATCTGATAAAGCAGATTCCTAATAAACCAGTCAAAACTTCAACAGCATGAAACAAAATGACCACGAGCCCTCATTTTGATCACTAGTCAAATTTTAAAATATCTTTGTTTCAAATTTCAGAGTGTCTTCTTTGAGGTGCACTAACATCTGACCCCATTTATTTTACGGAGAGGGAAGTGAGGTCACCCTCTGAACTAGTGGTAGGCTTTTAAATAGGAGCCTGGTCTCCTGACTGCCTGTTCTGCCACCTACAGCATTCGACCTTGATACAGACAAACACTGCTATTACAAACAAACAACAAATCTCTGCCATTTATTAAGAGCTTACAACATCGGAATTCCACTTTGCTGAATTAGAGATATTTATCTCAATCCTCACAACATCCCTGGGGGAAGGATTTGATTTCACTATTTCCTATATTAGAAAATAGAAGGCCCAGGCCGGGCGCGGTGGCTCACGCCTGTAATCCCAGCACTTTGGGAGGCCGAGGCGGGCGGATCACGAGGTCAGGAGATCGAGACCATCCCGGCTAAAACGGTGAAACCCCGTCTCTACTAAAAAATACAAAAAATTAGCCGGGCGTAGTGGCGGGCGCCTGTGGTCCCAGCTACTTGGGAGGCTGAGGCAGGAGAATGGCGGGAACCCGGGAGGCGGAGCTTGCAGTGAGCCGAGATCCCGCCACTGCACTCCAGCCTGGGCGACAGAGCGAGACTCCGTCTCAAAAACAAAAAAAAAAAAAAAAAAAAAAAAAAAAAAAAAAAGAAAATAGAAGGCCCAGAGATATCAAATAACTTTCCCAGGATCACACAGCTAGTGTGTGGAGCTCAAACTATGAATCCAAGGTTATCTGACTCCTAAATCAATGCCCTTAACTTCATGTAACATACTCCCTGGATCTTCTAATTTTTAATTCATTCAATTTAAACACACTTTAATTATGCAGCTGGTAAGAAAGAAATATTAGACCATCTCTCTGCTTTTGAAGAATTTATAATTTAGTCAGGGAAATGAGATACACCCAGGGAAACAGAAAATCACAAAAATAGACTGGATATACTTGAGTCTTAAGCCGAGTGCTGTCTAAGTCCATTCTATTCTTCAGCCAACATTTATTGAACAACTATTAAATGCTGTATGCCCCCTTCCCCATATACACCTTACCACTACACACTCTAATCATGTCAAATTACCCATAGTTCTTGAACACATGAGGCTGTTTCCTGCCTCTTCGCTTCTGTCCACGTTTCATCTGCTTATAATGACCTTATCACCAACATCCTCTGTGCAAACTCATATTTTTTCTCCTAAAATTCTGATTGTCATTATCCATGGCCCTTCTATAGTCTATTCTCCACACAGCAGCCAAGATGATCTTCTCAAAATATAATTCAGACCTTGTCACAATCCTGCTTAAGACTTTCCAGAGGCATCCTATGGTTTTTAATAATTTTTTTAAAAAAAGAACCACTAAGCTCTCCACCTTTATGATCTCATCCCTTCCCATGTCTCCAAGGTCCTGTACTACCATTCTCTTCCTCACTCATCACTCTCCAATCACACTGGCCTCCTGTCTACTTTACAAGGATGCAGTGCTCTCTACTACCTCGAAGACTTGGCAAAGGCTGCTCCTGCTATGTAGAATGGTTTCTGTATGACCAACTCTTTCTCAACCACCAGGTCTCACCTCTGTCCCCTTTGGCAAGGCCCTTCTTCAGCCAACTTTCCCAAACAGCCCTCCTTCCCACCTATTTCTGTACACCACAATACTTGTTGTATACCCTTCTCAGTCACTGTTATAGTCTTGAAATTACTTTATTACTCTTTGTAACTAGTTTAATTTTCTCTCTCTTGCTCTGGGATCTTGAATATCACTTGCTGCTCAGTACCCATTGCCTCATCCAGTGTCTGGCACATTGTAGGCTCCCAGTTAGCAACTGGTTTTTTGTTTTTATCCTTTTCTGATGCTCATACAAAAACACTGGGAACTCTTTGACAGGTAGATGATGTCACATCATTAATTTTTGTCATTGAGCTCCCCCTCTCTGTCAGGTACTGTTCTAGAATATAAAAATAAATAGCAGTCAATGTCCTTAAACTCAGGGTTCTCATGGTCTAGAAAAACATAAAAAATAAATCAATCAAATGAATATTATCAATCAAAGCATTCATAAAAAATAACAGGAAAATAAAGCAGAATCATATATGAAATAGCGTCTTGGGTGAGGGAACACGTGCTATAGCCAGGAAAGCTGACATTTCAGCATATATCATTGCCTCATACCATATTTGTTATTTATTTTTCTTCCCAACTAAAATATATACTTAATGAGGGCAGACACTTTGTGTTCATTTCCTGCCGCATTTCCAGCATCTAGAAAAATGGCGGGCACATAGTTGGAGTTCAATAATTATTGAATGAATAAATAAAAAATGAATTCTGCATGACGAGAAGGAGCCATCAGGTGACGATCTGGGAGAAGATGACACACACAAGAAAATATAAGTACTTCTGATTGGTCAGGGAAGTTTGTTGTGTTTGATGATTAGCCAAAGGCCAGTCCATGGGTGGAAGACAGCAAACAAGGGTGAGAGGGCTTAGGAGAGGAGTTTGGAGAATAACCAGTGATCAAAACCCATAAGAAACCTATAAGAATATATATAGGTATAAAGAAGTATAAGGAAGCATATTCTTGGCCCTGGGAAAAGTACAACATTTTTGAATTTTATTCCAAATATAAAATGGATGCTAAGAGCTCAATGATTAGTTTAATTAAATATTTAATTCAAAAACTAATGAGTCCAAAGAAGAGGAGAGAAGAAAGGAGCGTGCCTCTCATGTGGGCTAATAAATCAGAACAAGCTTCTTGGTAGGGTGTCACTTGGAGCTGAACGCTAGACCAAGAAGGAGCAAAGGAAAGAGGATCTCATGTGAGTCCCCGCTCTCACATGGCAGTAGCCCTTACCTAATATGCAAGGGCAAAGGAAGTGCTCAGATTGTCCTAATTAGTTAGCTTTAATATTCGAGGGATATAATATTGGACATGCAAACCAAGGCAAAATGTATACAGAACAGAATCTTGAAATGTTTTATTTACATAAAAGCTAGTGGAAGATGATATCATTCTTTCCATCCATCCTTCTCCCCATCATTTTGTTTATCTGTTATTCCACTGGCCCATCACTCAGTCATTCGATAATTATTGCTTTCATGCCCACTGTTTACTAGGTCTTGTAAAAATAAAGGTGAAAAATATATATGATCCTTCTTTCATGGAATTTGCAGTCTAATAGGTATCTCCAAAAGCACTTCATGGTGGAAAAATTCTGGCTGAGTCAGAATAACGTAGCTGAAAATCTTTAATTTGGTTCTGAGTTCATATCCCAAATAAACTCTGAAACAGGGCAAGCCATGGTTTCTCACCTATAAAATGACAATACTAATATTGTGTATATTCACTAATGTTCAATATTCAATATACTAATACTAATAATAATATTGCCATTTTATAGGTGGCAATTAGTATTGCCTCCTAAGATAGTCATTGGTCTAGAATGAGTCTAACAGATATAAAAGGGCTCAGCAATGCTCAGCATGTGGTCATACACAAACAGTAGTTTCTATTCAACCTTACTAAATAAACCTTTGTACAAAACTAGGCCCCAAGTCTGCAACTTGTGATTGTCTGTTTCTTTCTCAATCATGACTTTTCTGGCTTATCATCTGAATGCCACTGAAGAGAAAAAGCAAGGCTTAGTTCCAAAACCTTTCATATTTTAGCTCCACCCTAGGCCAGCCTCCCTCACACAGATCCCTCTGCACAGAAAATGAAATCCTAAGGCAGGCGTTCAAGAACACCTGCTCAAAGCATATCCAGGCTCGATGTGTAGAGCAAGCCATGAGTCTATTAAGCCTTGCCCTCTTTTGTTGTAGGTAAAGTGTTGTTTGAATCCTCATTAAGGCAGCCTGGGGTGATAGTTGAGAGGCTGTGCTCTGGATCCAGGCTGACCAGGTCAAGCCCTGGTGCTGCTGATCCAGTTGCATCACCCTGGATGACTTCACCTGACTCTCCATGGTCAGAGAGCGCACAAAGCACTTACTGTACTTCATGGGTGGTTGTAGCTGGGAGTTGTAAAATGAGAGAGAGGACATAAGGTACAACTCTTTATCTATGGAAAGTGCTCAATAAATAGAAGTTATAGGTGAGATTTTTTTTTAAGGAGGAATATTTGAAAACAAAAAAGAAGAGAAAAACTCAGTAAATTCACTGCTCCTTGTGAAAAACAGGCCAATCAGTGGCCCTGTTGTGTCCCTGAAGTCCAATTAAAAAGGGATAATAAGAAATTATTGAAGTGGCTTAAGCTGAAACTACCTGAATGTTCTGAGTCTGAAACTCTACAGGCAGGACACAGGCTTCAAAAAATTCATTCTCTTCATTCTTTCCTGTAGCGATTCAATTTATCCCAGCGTGCTGGGACTTCCTGGCCTGCTTTCACCTCTTGAATATCACCACAAGGAGGCTGTTTTGTTGTTCGTCAATCAGGTCAGGTCTGTACCAGTCTTAATTACCTGAAGTGCAGCCATTCAGGAAAGAGCACTGTAGTTGCAAACAATTTTAAAACTAGCCTTAAGTGATTCTGTTGTACATGTACAAAGGCACAATGACATGCTTTTTGTTGTTGCTGTTATTAAGTAGAAAACAAGCTCAAAGTCCTTTCAGGAAGGATCCTTCTTGTCTTGCACTGATTTTGTGCTAAGCACTTCACCTGTGTTAATATCAACAATGATGGGAACAGCAAATAACCTCCATATTGTCCTAGATTCCTCTCTTTCCCTCACATCTCACTCCCCACAGCTGATCCAGCAATTGCTGTTTTCCTTCCAAACAAATCTTTAATCCGTCAACTTTTTTATTTCATTTTGACTACCCTGTCCGTGTTAAGTTACTTAACTTCTCTGTGACTCAGTGTCCTCATCTATAAAATGGGACAGTACTATCTGCTCCTTAAAATTGTCATAAATGAAATCATGTATAAAGTACTTAGAATAAACACTGAGTGTGTGTTGCTAGTTTTACAGTGGTTGCTGTAATGGCTTTCCAGGACGTCTTTCTGTTTCCACCTTTTCCCATGAAATTTATTATTTATACAGCATCCAGAATGATCTTTACAAAAGAAGTGTCAGCTCATGTCACTTCCTGGCTTAAAACTCTCCAATGTCTTCCCAATGCATTTAGAGCAAAATCCAAATTACTTCCACAGCTCACAAGATACTCCACCTCCATTTCCTGAGCTCACTGCACTTTAGCCAAGATTCCAACCCCTTTCTCCTTTAAAATGTCCTAAGCGTGGTTCTCCCTTTAGTCTTTGTGCCAGTTATTTTCTTTCCTGGGATGTTCATCTCCTAGATCTTCCTTTAACTGGGCTGGGTCCTTATTCAGTTCTCAACTCAATGCTACTATCTCAGAGAGGTCTTTCTTTGATCGATTTATAGTAGATGTACATATTTTCAGGGTAATATGATATTTTAATACATTCGTACGATGTGTAAAGTTCAAATCAGGGTGATTGAAATATCTATCACAATTTTCTTTATGTTAAGAACATTCAAATTATTCACTTCTAGCTATTTTGAAATGTACAATAGATTATTGTTAATTATTGTCACTCTACTGATCTATCGAACACTAGTTCTTATTTCTTCTATTTAACTGTTTAATTGTACCCATTAATCAATCAGAGAGGCCTTTCTTGACCATCCTAAGCTTTATTTCACTCTCAAACTCTCATTATTATCCTAATACTCTTAAATTTTTGTTTATAGTACTTATTACGATGAAAATAAGTACTGTAAATGCATTTTTTTGGTTACAGTGTTGTTGTAATCATCATTATTTTACTTGAAGGCCTTTGATAAGGCATCTATTCCTCACTTCCACAGGATCAGCCACTCCCCACTGCCTGACACGGGTCCTAGAGACAGTCACATGATCTGCCCAGCCCTAGAAGACATTGTGTTTCCCACTCTGCTTGGGGTAGAAACTGCAAAAACACAAATACAAATATGTGTTTCCAAGTACTAGGCATAAAAGAAGTCATCGGAAAGATTCAAAATAAGCTTATCAGCTTTTAATAAAAGCTGATAGACTTATTTTAAAAGCTTATGAGCATTTAAAGACTATCATCAAAGTGAAAACACAAAATTAAAAACTTCAAGAGAGAAAATGGTAAACTCTTGAGAATTCACCCACAGACCCTCCCCTAAGAAACACTGCTGTCATCTTCCTACTCCCAAAATAAACAGCACCTCCTTTATGTGTCTGAGTCAGATTCCCTGAATCAGGACTATCTCTGACACTTCTTAATGAGAGAAAAGCCATATTTATAGCTAATGAATAAAATATTAGCCAACTCTGCTAAGTACTGACAGAGACCAGTGCTGATTGCTGCCCTGGGACTAATCTACTTTGCTCACACAAATAGGGACTGCTTATTCAAGAGGGATGCCAGCCAGCTTGGTTTGCATAAAAGAGTGATGACAAAGAATAATCTCCAAAGAGCCATCTCACTGTTGGAAACTAATGAGACATTAATATTTCAGAGGTAACAAGGGATGGAGAGGCCAAGGTTTAGAGAAACTGAGACTCATTGAGTTTGTGTTTTCCATGCTTGATATAATTTATCTCACTTGGCTTTGATGACAATAAAGTAAATAATAATATTGTGCCCACTTTACAGATGTGTGTATCGAAGATCTGAGCTGTTAAATGGCTTGTCTAAGGTATGGAAGAGGGGTTTAAATCTATGCCAATGTGACTTTAGAACCTGCACTTGTTCCTTTATACAATGTCACCTCTCATGTTTTAGACACAAAGAGGTCCAGAAATGAAAGATGGCTATTGTAAGTGTGCTGGGTTAAGATGATTAAAATATGTATATATAGAAATACAGCTAGAACACAAAGACTCCTGTTTTATACATTATGGTTGAAAATAATGAGAGTTTTAATTTAGAGAAGAATGTAGTCTTTAGATGTTTTAAGAATTGTCACATAAAGAGGGGGTAAATATGATGTCTGTTGTACCAAAGAGTGTATCTTAGACATACGGTTGAGAGTTTGGGTAGGGAGGTCTATTCTTTTTCCAGATCAACTTGAAGGACTTTGAAATAAATAAATAAACAAAGAAGCGTGTGTGTGTGTGTATGCATGTTATTTTATTTTGTACACTGCTATATTTTCAATGTATGTAAATGTTTGGCCCATAGTGGATGCTCAATAAATACATGTTGAATGAATAGAATTGGCTCTGATGAAGAAAAATATAAGGCTCTCAAGGTGTTGAGCTCCTCATCAATGAATTTTTGAAGAGACTAAAGTTCTGAGCATAGATTCTTGCCCTTGCTGGGAGGTTACATAACAGCTAAGCAAGGTTTATTGAACACTCTCTAGATGCTAGGCCCTGCCCTAAACACTTCAAGATCATTATTTTATTTACCCTCACCACACTAGTATGAGTTAGGTAATAACAACATCATCATTTCACAAAAGTAGAAACTGAGTAGATCTTAAGATGTAGACCTTTAAGATGATTAAAATACATATCCAAAGAAATACAGCTAGAACACAAAGACTCCTGTTTTATACATTATGGTTGAAAATAATGAGAGTTTTAATTTGGAGAAGAATGTAGTCCTTAGATGTTTTAAGAATTTTGCAGAAGTTTTTTTTCTGTTTTAAGGTTTGCAGAAGCTAAAGCATTTTCCCAAGATTACACAGATGTTAAGTTCTAGGGGTGGGATCAAAACCCAGGCTTTCATTAACTTTGTGCTATGTGGCTTGGCTACATGAGATTATCAGCACATTCCCTTCCAGTAATGAGAGCCTACGTATACCATTTATAATTTAATCTCTGAATTGAAGATTAATACCTTGATCATGGATGATATTCTTCCCAAATGAGCACCAGTTTCCAGGGAAGTTATAGTTAAAGCTATTGCACATTATGACATTTACTTGTTCAAACTCACTTATCATTGGCAAGATAAAGTCTCAACTTTTTACCATGGCACTTAATGCATTTTAGGATCCAACCTCATCTCTTAATTTTATACATTAGAATATTTTTTGTCTGTGTATTTCCTTCTCTTTAGAGTCTCCTTTTGTCTGTTTATTTCCTTCCCAACCTCCTTGCTTTCAAACATGTTCTATCTCTATAATAAAAATCCATTGGTCTGTCTATCTGTTTGTCCATCTGTCCATTCATTCATCCACCCATCAACTACATCTCAGATCAACTACATGTCAGAACGGTGTTTATATCAGGGAACAATACCCTGCCTTACCACTTGATAGTCTCACAAAAGAGAACACATAAGTAAACCTATCTAATTCGTACCTATTATGCAGGATACAGGCCCAGTTCTTTCATCTCCCATGAAGGTGCCCTAAGTTTTCTGGCCCCTCTTTATCTCTTTTGCCTGTCACTCTTTCAGCGCTATGGCCCACATCATAATCACTGTTTAGTGAAACCTCATTTCAGACGGAGGTTAGCTTCCAAAATCAGCATGAAAGGACAGAACAGTCAAAATGGCCCCTGTAAATCCCTTAGGAAGATGGTGCCATGTGGAGACTGACTAATGGGCCATCACAGCAAGTTTATCCTCCATGTTGAAACAGATTGCCGTTTCTTTGATTTAAATGCCAGAGAAGAGGTCAGCTTAGATTAGAACCAATCTGTAGGAAAAATGTGTATCTAGTTAAACACAGCAGTCACCTTACACTCAATCCTACTGAGATGCTCACAATATGAAAGAACAAAGAGCAAGTGAGAGCACAGCAGAACACTGTCCCTTCACACTGTCATACTGGGACCTATGTTCATTGAGTAAACGGTGCAAACCATTGCCTGAGCCAGTTAGATTATTCTCTCTCTTTCACATAAATACGCATAGAACACGTCTCCACTGACCTGTCTTGTGCTGTCATTTAACTCTTTCAAAGGGATGACTAACCCAGGAGTTCCCAGAGCACATGAATTGCGTCTAACACCACACTACCAGTTCCTTGTTGAATAAGATTGTCTTATCAATTCCCTGTTGTACAAGATCCTCTGTGATGTGGTTCCTGTTTACCTCTATAATCCCGTTTCTATACCATTTCTATACTTTCTACACTCTAAGTGTACTTATTTCTAGTTTCCACAAATTAAACATGTTGCTTCACACCTCCTGCCTCTACCTAGAGTGTCCCTTCCCATGCTGTGCTGCAAATGTGCATCTTCAGTACTCATTTCAAATGTTTCCTCTTCGGGGATAGGTTGACTGGATCAATACCCCATTCTTCACTCCTTCCTGCATCCCTGCTTTTTGCCATGAAACTTTCAGCACCCTCCCACTCTGCTTCTGGGCTTGGCCATATTACTTGCTTGGACCAATAAGATGTCAGCAACTGCAACACAGTAAAGGCTTGAAAAGTACTGGTGTGATTGGGCTTGTCTTGCTTGTTAGCAGCGACTGTAGGAGAGTGCCCCTGGGCTAGCTTGCTGGATGAGGAGAGACAGATGGTGCCAAGTCAAGGTGCCCACCATCCCAGCCAACACAATCCTAGATCAGCCAACTGTTAAGCTTCCCCTCAACATGTGAGCCACCCCAGCCAATATTGCAAAGTTGCCTAGATAGCCTGCAGTCTACTGCAAACATATGAGCAAACCCAGCTGACCCCAGCCCAGATCAGCTGTACTCCACAGACTCATGTATGCTATGAAAGTTTTTTGGTTATTATGTAGCATTACTCTAGCAATGGAGAACTGATACTTCTTTAAAGACTTCCTTGACCCTCCCAAGAAGATGTAACAACTTCCTCCTTAGTGCAGCCTCTGAATCTTGTCCTTTCCTCTATTACAAAACTTAACACACTTTACCATTGTAAACATTTGATAAAGGAATAAGTAATATGATTATTTATTGTTAAGTTTGGATCTCCTTCTGAGACTAACCTTTTTGAGAACAGGAACATCTTTGTGTGGGAGGTGAGGTATATAATCAGTGTAGTTATGGCACATCTGGGTTGGAATCATGGCTCAGCAAGTGGCAAACTTTCTGAGCCCAAGTATCTTGAGCTGTAAAATGTGAGCGGCAGCAGCAACTGTGCAGCCCTCTTGAGAGAACAGAATGAGAAATCTGTATAAAGTAGCCAGTTGAGTGCCTGACACATCAAAGGTCTCAATAGATATTATTTGGTTAAGTGAGTTAAATGAACTGACACTTCTGTGGCAAAATTCTTAGAAGGAGTACACCAAAAATAGAACATCCTTTATCCTATTACCAATTCCTAACATCACACCAGCTGCCCAGAGCATTCTTTAGCCTCTAATTCAATTTATGACTATGAAGGGTGATGTTTCAATTTACTGAACCCAAGTGTGTAATAAAAAAAGGACCTCTGAGGACTATCTTTGCAACTTAACATCAGTACGTGTTAAATGCAATTTATTTAATCTTTTCTTTACAACAAAAGTTACACTTTGTTGCTTATAAGTTCACTGCTTCTGAAACCCTTCTGAGAAATACAGATTCTTGGTTTGTGCTAATTGCCTGCTCTGGAGCAGTCTAAGTAGCCTCTGTGGTGGGCTACGTTCCTACACAACTAAGGAGCATGTACTTACCTCTCTGGAGACAGGGAGCCCTCTTCCACAGTCACTGCAAGAGAAAGAGGCGGAATGAAAAAGAGGCATTTGCAGCAGCCTGGTTAAAGTGAATGATGCTTGTGTGATGACTTGATCCCACAGATAATGTGGAGAGTGGAAGCTTGCCTGTGCCTGAAACATCCCTTACCTCCACCCCAGCACCCAGGGGATGCCTGTCCCTGCATTGCAGCACTCACCCACACTTTACAGTACAATTTCTTATTTATGGGTACAATCTCTTGCATTAGACTTTGACCTCCTTAAAGACCAGAACCCCTGTGGGGTTTATCTCTTAATCTCTCATTTCCATCACAGGACATGGTACAGAGATTATAGCTGCTCAATGTTTGTTTCAAATAAACTTGGACATTTACAGAGCACTTCCTGGTATACCAAGCACTATTTAAGCCCTTTCCGGGCATCATGTCTCATTATCCTCACAATAATCCTAAGAGATCAGTGGTATCCCCATTTTACAGATAAGGAAATTATCCCTATTTTATAGATAAGGAAAATGAGGCTCAGTGATTAACAAACCCAAACTTAAATAGCTAGTGAGTTCAGAAGCTGGGATCTACAAAGCCCATTTTATGGCAAAAGACTTAGTACTTTGTTCTATGTTGCTGACAAACCTTCTTCTCATTCAGAGAGAATATTTGAGGCCTGAATTATTTAATGTTTATAAAAATCACACTTATCCTTCTTTGATTTGGAGCTGTCCATATCAGTAAAGTATACTTATAAGAGCCTATCTCCCCATATAGAATTTTCTTTTAGGATAAGACTTAAGATGACTTGTAGCAGTGGTTCTCAAAGTGTGGTCCATGGACCAGCAGCCTCAGCAACCTCTGGGAACTTGTTAAAAGGCAAATTATCAAGCTCCAACTCAGACCAACTGAACCAGAAACTGAGAATGGAGCCCAGCAATCTATGTTTTAAAAAGTCCTCTAGGTGATTCTGATGTACACTCAAGTTTGAGAATCATGAAGTCAGAGTAATTTAACCATGAAGTTGCCCAAAGCAGTTAAAATGAACAAAGACTGTGTTAGCTGTCTCAGTGTACCTGCCATCTGCTGGTGCTGATGGCCACAGTAAAACAAATGTTAGCACAGCAGTACATTTTGTCCCAAAGTGTATGTTCATCTTGTGTTTCATTAGAGCAAACATAAGCTAAGGCATTTAAAATGTCAACAAGATCAGATTGTGGTGGGAGTGGTGAGGGATGAGAGGTGTTCCTTTAAATAGAAGAAGACACAAAATAGCACAGAAAAATGGCTTCCAAAGATGTTTCAGTTTCTGGAAGGGATCAGAGGGTTGGGGGTTGCAGGCTTTCAGTTAATTACCAAAAGCAGATTATGGAGGCCTGAGGGGCTCCCCCTAAGGATTTCAGGTCAAGTTCACACTGACTTTCTCCCTTTTCACTCCCTCCCCACTTCTCCTGCACAAATGGATTGTGTTGACAACACAGGTTTGCAGGAAACACAAAGGTTCAGTGACTCCCTGCTCAGCGACTTTCTGTTTTCTTCCTCTTGGACAGATTCCCAGTGATCAAATGCAGTGCTCTCAGGGGAAGTGGGCTGGTCTAGGAGCGATAAAGGGCCAATTCCCACAGAGACATCGTTTCATGGGCAAGCTGCCACAGCCTCTAGATGAGAATAAGCAGTGATGGATGTCCAGCCTCATGGAAAAGCAGCAGCGGCATCGTCACCTGGGAGAGGATGTGGAGACGGAGGTGACTCCTGGTTGGCCTTGTGTAGGGCCCTGTGCATTTCCTTACCTTCCCCCTGAGTCTTGGGAACAGCAGCTGGCTGCCTCTGAAAGGCCTGGAGGTTCACGATGGGAGGTCTTGAAGGCTTTGGGGGAGGAGGACCCAGGGAGTCGATGGAGGGCAATGGCTTTGTTTTGGGAAGGTGGTGATGCCTGACATCTGGCTGTTTTTCTGAACACAAGACAGTAAAAAATGTAAGTTATGATTATTTTCATTTCATAGCTTGTGGGTAAAACTGGTTTCCTTGCCTCCATCTAAGTCCCGTCCAATCTATTCTCCACCCAACAGCTAGAGTGCCCTGATCAATACATAAACCTGATCAGTTGCCATGCTGCTGCTTTAAGGATTTCCTCAGCATGACATTGGTTACTCCATCTCTGCCATTTCTACACCACACAGCACCCATCTGTGTTTCTAGATTCTTTGTTTGGCATATTATATGTCTTGCTTCCCCCCACTTAAAGCCCAAATATTTTTCACACACATCACTGGCTTCTCCATTCTCCGTATTTGATTTAGATAGCCTTAAAAAGCTCTCATATATCCAAAATTTTGTTCATGTTTTTCTTGGTTCTGGAACACTTTTCCCTTTCTTGGCAAACTTCAATTCATTCTTTTAAGGCTCTGCTCCAATGACACCTCCTCTAGAAAGCTTTTCTTGATTTCTCACAGGAATCAAGGCCAGAATCAACCTCTGATTTGTATCCCTGTAGCACATTGTTAATACCCTTACATCAATATCATGGCACATTGGAGGCACTGGTCTATGTTCCCATTTAACAAAGGCTTCTGTGGGTGGGGATGGTTTTGTATTGATCCCCCAGCACCAAGCACAGGGCCTACCTCATAGGAGAGAGGCTGTGACTATTTACTGAAAGTGTTCTTCAAGCACTTATGACATGCAAATAAGTGGCTCTATAAAAAGGAATAAGAATTGATCTGGGATTTCCAGGGCTCATAGCCTAGGACTGGCTTCAAGGCTGACTTTGTGATATCTGGGCACCTGTGTCCTGGAATTTTCCAGGAAAGTTCCAATTTTACATATATTTGTCCTCTGCAGTCTTAAATCCAACTCCAACAGAAAGTCCAATATTATATATGAAAATCATATCTGCCCTTTACAGTGAAAATAGCACAAAATCTTATGTAATCCAACTGCTTTGATTTTTCATTTATGTAAGACAGTAGTTGACTACATGGGCCATTCATGTGAAAACTTAAGAAGTGGCCTAGCATTTTGCATATACTCCTGGGAGACTTCCTGCTCTCCTCCACAAGCTGGAAGGGAGGGAAAGCTTCCTTATTGCTCCACCCACAGCGGGTTACATCCCCAGAAACTCGGGCCCAAAGTTCCTCTCTTCTTAGGCTTGAATTACAAGTAGCGTTGTCAAAAACTTCAGTCATTATCAAATTAGGAAGAAGACATAGTGAATACTAATTATCACTAATTGGGCTCAGAGTTTTTACCAGGCACTGTGCTAAGTAGTTTACATCCGTTATCTCACTTAACTTTCTCAGTAGCTCCATCTGGTAGATAATACATTCTTCTTTCCTTTCTCTCATCCATCTTTCTTCCCATACATCTTTCTTCCCATCTGTCTTTTCTTCTTCCTCATCCCTTCATCAATAACTATTTATTTACTATATTCCAGGTATTGTTCTAGGAAGTGGGGATAGAGTTGAGAACAAGAACATGTATATTCCTACCTTCAGGAATTTTTATTCTAATAACAAGAGACTGATGATAAACAAGTAAACAAATAAACAAGAGCATTACAGAGATCCATTAGTTCTATGAAGGAAATAAGGTAGGATGACAAGTGTGAGCTGTTGATGATGAGGCAGTACACTTTATAGAGAGAGGTTAGAGAAAGCTGACCTCGGAAAGTTTTTTTTGAACTTAGGCCTAAATGCAGCTACAAAAGCTTAAAGAAAAGAGTTTTTGAGGAAGAGGGAATGGCAAGTGCAAAGGTCCTGAGGCTTGACAAAGCTTATTTAAGGAACAGCAAGAAATCTAGTGTGTTGACTATGGGCAGAGAGCTCGGGGAAGACAGGTAGGAGATAAGTCAGACACAAAGCAGGGACCAGCATGCAGGGCCATGAAGACCACAAAGCAAGTAGTTTAGATTCTATTCCAAGTACAAACAGAAACCATACAAGGTTGTAAGGAGATTCATCCATCCAGCCTTCCATCCATTTAATCAATCATTCAACAAATTTTTTTTTAGGACTTATTCAATCTGGCGTTTTTCTTCTAGGTGCTAGGGATATGGTAGTAAAAAACTACAGTCCTTATCTTTTTTTTTTTTTTAGACAGGATCTTGCTCTGTTGCCCAGGCTGGAGTGAAGTGGTACAATTTTGGCTCACTACAACCTCTGCCTCCCAGGTTCAAGCAATTCTTGTGTCTCAGCTTCCCGAGTAGCTGGGATTACAGGCACAGGCCACCATGTCCAGCTAATTTTTGTATTTTTAATAGAGATGGGGTTTTGCCATATTAGCCAGGCTGGTTTTGAACTCCTGAACTCTGCCCACCTTGGCCTACAAAAATGTTGGGATAACAGGCATAAGCCACCGTGCCCAGCCAGTCCTTATCCTTTCATAACTTAGATAATACTAAGGTGAACCAAGAGCTTGGTGGCAAAACCAAGAGCTTGCCGACAGATTCAGTGTGTAGAATGAGGGAGGAGAAGGGAAATAGAGCATGGCTCGTAAGTTTTGGCCTGAGAAATTAGGAGAATAATTGTGTTGTTTACCAAGACAGATGATTGGTGACAGATTTGAGTTATAAGAGAGCACTCAGGCTCTAAGAATCTATATAAATTGCCTAAATTCATGCAGCTTGTCAGAAGTCGAGCTAGGATTCAAATCCAAGTTTTTCCAAAAGCTATCTCACAAAGCAATTCCAGGAGATTAAGCACTTTACTCAAACCCGAGGTTACAATTTAGCAGATGGGCCTAGAATATCACGTGGAGAGTCTGGAGCCACATTTCCCAGGTCATATACATAACCACTCTGAATCAACAGGTTTTCAAGTAGAAAAACATGATGACACCTCCCTAGCCCCTGTCCCATGGGGATCACGTTTGTTACCTGGGGCCTGACTGGCAAGCTCACACTCATAGATGGGCTGGCAGGGGCTGCTTGCCGGGCTCCTCTCAGGAGGTGGGTTTTCCCAGCTTTTTCTGATATGTTGAGAAATTACAAAAGAGGGATCTTCAGAGACGTTATGTAATATTTTGGGGGCCACCACGTGCTTCTGGGAAGGAAGAGTCTGGGCTCCTTTTGTTTCCAGCTTTTTCCTGGGTTCCTCTGGAGTAAGCCCCATGCCTTTTTGCCCTTCCAGATGGATGGCCTTACTTCCATAGTTGGCAAGGAGAAGGGCTGAAGACATTTCACTTTTCTGAGATGAAACCTTCTCCCAGTTCCAGAGTTTGTTTCTGAAGCTATTGGCCACCATTACTTTTTCCTTAGTGATTATCTCAACATTTGATTGAGTCACCTCTAACAGCAGAGAAGCCTTCTGTGAACTTGTTGCAGAACATACAGTAGACTTTCCCAGAGGCCCTGGGGAGTTAGAACATTTTGGAATTTCACTCTTCTGAGCCAACTTTATTTTCTGAGGTTGAAGAGGCTGGGACTCACTACTGGAACAGTATGGTGTGCGCTGCTTGTGGTTGGATGAGAGGGGTTTCCCATTGGCCAAAATTTGAGTTGACTGTGTGCCTCCAATGTCACCCTTTGGAGAAACACCTGCTGGGAATTTAATAGGTCCTGGAAGAGGTGGAGCATCAAGATTTTGAAATTTGGCTCGAAGTTCCTTGAAGTTTCTTACCCCTTCCTAAGGCAAAGAATAATCAAACAAACAAACAAAAACAAAAACAAACAAACAACAACAACAAAAACAAGTGTCTCATTATTCCAAGAAAAAAAGTCAGTGTGATTAGATCTCACTGATCTCACCATGTTAAGGGACTCTAACTGCTGATATAACGCAATTGCTTCTGGGCAATGTTAGCCAGCAATGCTATTGTCTATATGAGATACAATGAAAACACTATCTCTTTCTTAAACACTCCAGGGATGTTTAATTTTCACACAGCACATAAAGAACACCTATATACAGTACTAAAAACAGTGGAGAAACCCCTTGATACAAACTTTTGATGGCTCCCCACAACCTATAAAAATAAATTCCAAACTGCTTTATACAGAATTCAAGGTTCTTCACAATGAGGTCCACCAAAAGGTGGTGGAATTATGATCTCCAACCACAGCCAAACACAACTACCCTTAAACCAAACAGAACTGTTTACAATTTTCTTAGACCCTCCTACTCTCTATCACCTGGAGTTTGGTTTGTGTTCTTGCTTCACAAAATGCATCCCCATCAGCTTGTCAACACCTTTCTTGCACTTCGCTGCCTACTAATCCATCAATATTTCACCTAGGGAACTTAATTCAATATGCAAAAAAAATATAACTCCATTAAAAAATGGACAAAGGACATAAACAGAAAACCAACTACTGCATGTTCTCACTTACAAGTAGGAGCTAAACACTGAGTACACATGGACATAAAGATGAAAACAAAAGGCACTGGAGACTATGAGAGGGGTGAAGGAACGAAGGGGCATAAAGTTTGAAAAATTACCTATTGGGTACTATGTTCACTACCTAGGTGATGGAATCATTCATACACTAAACCTCAGTGACACACAATTTACCCATGTAACAAACATGTGCCTGTACTTCCTGAACCTAAAACGAAAGTTGAAAAAAAAAAAAAAAAAAAAAAGCTTTCACCTGTGGATGACAGACACAGCTAACTTCTTTCCTGTCTCCTTGGTACTTCCATAGCTTTTTATATCTTGGCTGTTGAACTTAATGCTATGGTATGGAGAAAAGAACAAACTTTGGAACTAGACAGACTTATGTTCACATGAAGACTCCACTCTTTATCCTCTAGGGAAATACTCTGAGAAACTTGATCTTCCCTCTAAGTGCTTTATAAAAATAAGTTGTCAAACAGTAGCAGTATTAGGGCCATTATAAGTGAAATGTCCATTACAGTGCCTGACACATAGTAGGCCCATGATAAAGAAAAGTTCTTTATAAGAGGCTAGATGACGCTCTTGCATTTTTAACTCCCCTTGGAAAATGATCATGCTCTTCCCTCTAAATTCAGCTCCAATTTGGTATATGAAAATTGTGGTAGTAATGGGAGCCCAATCTTTGCGGCAGAGGAAGGAGCATGACTGGGTTTATACAGTGAGTTGATTGGTGGTCCGGCCAGGTAGGTGTAGGCTTACCTCCTGCTCCATGCTCTTCCTGCTGGTCCTTCTTCCTCCCACTAAACTGCATTAGATTTTGTAAATGTGTTCTGTCATCTTTTGCTTTCGCAGGAAGTAGGACAATGTCTAATGGAGCCATTGCAAAAAATAAGAGCCACTATCCTCTCCTGATCATCTTAAAGGTTTTTTAATTTCATTTACACAGACCATCTCCATGGCAGTGACTTTTGATTTTGCCAGCTTAGGAAATGTTGGGCGACCTTTTCTCACCATATTTACAGTTGACTCACACCTGCCTTCTGAAGATTTTGGAAGGGAGGAAAATTGAACAAGAAGCATGAAGCAAGTGTCAGGGAGCTTAAGTACATGCACTCTCTCTCCTTTTTCATCTCTCTGTTCTCTCTTTATCTCTCTAACACACACACACACGCACAGGCACACGCACACACATAGCCAGCAGACAAGTTAATTTAACCACACTTTCTCTCCCCTGACGTGGCAGAAGCCAGCACTGGGCATGAAATCAGGAGATCTGAGTGTGAAACTCCACTTATCCATTTTCCACTTACGTGCCTTGGGCAATTCACTTCACTTTGTTGAGCCTTATTTTCCTCACTATGAAATGAAACTTATATTTCTGACAGCAGTTCAGGGTTATTGTAAGAATCAAATGAGATAACACACATACACACCTCAGTGATAAATATTTTTTATATTGTGGTAAAATACACATAAAACACTGCCTACATAACACTGCCAAACTGTACACTTAGAGATCTTAACCATCTCTAAGTGTACAGTTTGGCAGTGTTATGTAGGTTCACATTGTTGTGTAACCAATCTCCAGAACTCTTTTCATCTTGCAAAAATAAAACTCCATATCCATTAAATAAGTCCATATTCCACCCTCTCATTCTACACTCTGTCTCTGAATTTGACTATTCTAGGTACTGTATAAGAGGAATCATAGAGTATTTGTCTTTTTGTAACTGTCTTATTTCACTTATTACAATGGCCTCAAGGTTTAGCCATGTTGAAGCATGTGTTAGAATTTCCTTCCTTTTTAAGGCTAAATAATATATCATAGTGTATATATAACACATCCTGTTTATCCATTCATCCGTCAATGGAGAGTCAGATTGCTTCTATATCTTAGCTATTATGAATGATGCTTCTATAAACATAGGTGTACAGATATCTCATTGAGATCCTATCTTCAGTCCTTTTGGTTGTGTTCCCAGAAGTGAAATTGCTGGACTATATGGTAATTCTATTTTTAATTTTTGAGGAGCCTCCCTTCTGTTTTCCATAGCAACTGCACCATTTTACATTCTCACCAACAGTGTACAGGGGTTCCAATTTCTCCACATCTTCACCAACACTTTTTTTTTTTTACAATAGCCATCCTAATGGTTATGAGTTTGTCAGTGGTTAATATTTTTAAAGTAATATAATGATTATTTTCAGTTCTTCACTATTTGAAGCCACATGGACAACTACTGTACAATGTTGTTGCTTAGATTTTAGTCTCTGTAGGATTAATTAAGCAAAGCCCTAGTATGAAATAGAATTATGGATTTGATAACCTCCAAACCAAGGTCCTGTGCAAGGATCACTAGTTCAGCGGGGAGCAAACCTGATTATACCTGGCTCTTTACTCTTTCAACGCATGTTCATTAAGTATCTACATACAGACCAAACATTGTTTTAGACAGTCAAGGGCTCTGTTGTAATGTCAACGAGAGACAGAAAATAAGCAATTACACAAGAAAATATTAGAGACAAAGTGCTATGTGGAGAATTAAGCAGATGATGCAATAGTGACTGGGTGTCTACCACTGACTTTCAGAGCTACAGTAGAAAAGTAATTTCTTCTCTCTAGCTCAGCCATACATCAAATTAATGGTTGGTTTGGGTGATCTCCGAAGCCCCTTCCAGCACTAATATTTAGATTTTATTTTCCTTACAATTGATGGGAAATAGATGTGATGCCTTTTGTTTTTTATTATCCATCACCCATAGGTGGAAGTTCAGGTTTGAGGACATGAGGAAAACTGCATGAAGATGGTTTGGGAGGTGGCCATAGGGTCCTTCTGGTTAAAACCATGCCCCATTTTTCAGCTGCCGCAGCTAGTCAATCCCCAAATCCCACTGATCTGAACTCTTAAGCAGCCCGTGAGCACCTCCCTTCGATTCTTCCTCACTTACTGCTTCGAATGACTTCTTGATGGACTCTCTGCTTCCATTCTGAGCCCCTGTAATCCACCATTTACTCAGCTGTTAGACAAACCTCTTTAAAAACAAATCTGATCATGTAAGTCCCTTACGTGTTTTAAAACCTTCAATTTAGCATCCTCAAAGCTTTCAAATAAGCTCAAATTCTTTTGCTTAGCACATAAGACCCATCCTAATCCCGACCCTCTTAATGCTCCAACGTCACATTGGGCCTCCCCCCAACATGCTTTCTTCCTTCTAGCCTCACTAAATTGCTGACATTCTCCCAAACCTGTTTTGCCCTTTCATGTAGCTGTAACTTTGAATGTGCTGCCTGCAATGCTCATCTTTCTCTCTAATTTCTTGAACTAGCACATTCCTGCTCGTTCAAAATTTAACTCGTGTCATCTCAAAATATTTGTTGGTTGCCTACTATGCACTAGGCACTAGGGTTACAAAGATGAATGAGGCAACCCCAACCTTTCAGAACTCAGAAAATGAAGGAGACAGACACAAATTGGTTGTTTTAACATAATACAGGGAATTATTAAATATATGGCACAAAGTCTGTGGAGGGAACATAGAAAAGGGGCTTATGATGCAAACCTGGTTGCCAAGCAGGTTTCCTAGAGGAGATTCCCCAGCTTAAACAGTCAGCCAAGCAAAGAACAGAGGAAGGCAGCCCAGAGCATGAACACAGAAGGCACAATCTTGGAAACAGCATGATGTATATGAGAAGCAGCAGCAATTTCACATAACTGAAGCCCCAGTGCACAGTGTATGAGGCTGGAGAAGAAAGGAGAGGCCAAGTCTTAATGTCATCGGGCTTAATCTTCACAGTGGGTGAGGAACTACTGATGGGTTTCCTGGTGAGCAGCTAAAGGCAATTTCTAACTGATTCCTCTTTCATGACCATTCTAGGTAAAGCAGCATCTCTCCTTCACTCTCTACCTACCTTACCCTGGGTATACACTGGCTCATCCAACCCTTTCTTGTGAGCCTTCCCCTGGCACAGAGCCTGGGAAGCTTGGAACTACCACGCCCAGGCACTCTTTTATCTGGAATTTTGCCCAACAGAGGTGTCCATAGCTTGGTAAATGAGGCCCTGAGGGTGTGGCCGCTCAGGGAATAGCATGTGCTTTGGGGAGCAGCTGTGGCAGAGGTTCCTGTGCTACGTGGTGGGTAGCAGCATCGATGGATTCACATAGGAACTGCCCCATTCCCTTAGCTCTAGCATCTAAGCTTCTTGCCAGTTCTGGAAATTCCTAAAATAATTTCTTGTAAATCCTTTTCCATTCATATTTACAATAACAGGTTTGAGTATCTGCAACGACAACAACAAAACACACTGGCCGATACAGCCTGGTTTGTTTTTCTTTATAGCACCTATCAAAACCCATCAGATGGTCTGTCTACCTCCATCAGAATGTAAACTCTTTGAAGGTGGGTACTTTGTTTGTATTTCAGTATTTGCCCACTGCTGTAGTGCCAGTGCCTCAATAAAAATGCGGTGAAGGAATGAATCCTTAATTCACTAGTCTTTCTGAACCCCTTTAAGACAGGGCCAGTATCCTATTTATGTTGGTATCCCCAGCAGTGGCAGAAGTGACCCACGAAATCCTTGGTGAATGAATGAGTCAGTGAATAGATATTTAGAAAAGTTAGCTGGTTCACATAATGCAGGAACCGTAACTCAGCAGAATCTTAATTTTTTCCTGTGTCATCTTTGTGAAAGCAGATTAGAATGCCCATGGAAACAAATGATCTAATTGCTATCATGTCAAAAGACAGCCCTAAAAATAGCCCTGGAAAATAGCCTGGTACTTTTGATTTGTACTGGGCAAGCCTCAAATACCCATCTGGGAAGTACAGGCCAAAACAATTCGAGAGATATTGTGGGAACAACCTAAGATAAAAGACAGTGGTGTCCTCTAAACAGAAGGGGTTTATCTCTTTGATATGGAAATTAAGCAAGGAGGAAGCAGCCAACAAAAACAAAGACATTGCTATTTCAGAAGAATGGAGAGACCAGAGTAAAATAGTTAGAAGTCTGAATCTCAGCTCTTCAAGTGTGGCATTGTTATATTTAGATGAATGTATTTCATCACTAGGAAAAAAGACTCCATCAAACAGATGCCTTTTATTCAATGTTTATGTTACAGGAATCTAAGGAATAATGATAATAATAATAATAACAAAAATGGGCAAACACATGATATTACCATATACCAGGCACTGTTCTAAGCACTTCATATACATTCACTAATTTAAACCCATGTATTCTCAGGTTACAGACAAGGATAGTGAGGCATCGAGGGCCTATGTGACTTGTCCAAGGTCACGCAGCAAGGAAGGGTCAAAGCTAGCAATCAAACTCATACAACCTGGCTTTGAGTCCCATATGCTCTATTCTGGAATCCTCTAACCCAAGAATTTGCTTGGTGGGTCTAGAAACTTCTTTGGCTAATAATTTTCTAGAAACAAGCTAATACCTGATTACATGAGCATAAATGCTGTAACCTCCTCTTCTTGGGAAGATATTTTCCCCTTTGCTAGTTTCAGAGATAACTATATTTTTTTCTATCCTCATCATCCTTAACAACACTTATATATGATGTCTTAATTAATTTCCACAATAACCCCACCAATTAGGCGATTGTTACTGACCCTGTATTATAGATAGACTAAGAGAGAGGTTAAGTAACTTTCCCCAGTTTACATAGTTAGAGAATTTAAATCCAAGTCTGTGTAACTCCAGGACTGCTTTTATTTATTCTGCAATAAATATACAAATATATTGACAAATATACCTTTCTTATAAATTTAGCTTCAATTTAAAATTCTTCTATTAATTCATAAAAATATCATAATCAATTTTGTATATGTCACATTTACTTTAGAGATTATGTTAAAAATGTAGCTCTAATCACACCATTGAAACAAACAAAAATCCCAGGAAGCCAATTTGCATTGGCTTTTAAGACACTTTCTCAGACTTTTTATTTATTTATACCGACATGAGCAAAACATTTTACTTAATATAACTGGCATAGTTTTAAAAATTTTAATAAATTACATGGCCATTGTGACCATGTATCTTGGGTTTTTCAAGGTAGTTTTGATTTAATGTAATTTAAAAGGTGATGGGAAAATTCAGAACCAAAGAACAAAACTCAGTATTATACCCTTTCAAAGTAAATTTGGAAATGATAATAAATTCTGTGTCAAATCACGTTTTGATCTCTGCTTTATAAAGCATGGCACAGACAGTTATTTCATCCTCTCCTGAGTTTACCCTGCTGCCACGGGCTGCTAGGTAACCCTCTCTATGTCACCGCTCTCTGCCTTAACATCTACAATGGCATTCATTGCACTGCACAGCAAGCTGCCTTGGACAAGGACTGCAGGTGCTCAATAAGTTAATAGTGACTTGGTGAGTGAATGCGGTCATAAAAATATATATAAAGTAAGTTCCAAAAGGAGAAGATACTATTTCTATGCACATTTCCTAATTGGAAAATAAAGGTTAACTCATTTCTGAATGTCTGCACATTGCTAACTGTTGCCTTCCACAGGGAGAAACAATGGCAACGTCAACAGCAATGGTTTATCACAAGTCTGAACATTCCTCTGTGGTAAGCAAATCCAAGAGCCTTAAGGAATATGTAAACTCAAAATCCAAGGCAAAGAGAAGGCAGCAGAAGCCAACAAATTACGTGCCCAGGAAGAGAGGCAGTAGTAACTGTCAAATCCTATCTAAGATGGAAAGAAGTAGAAGTCGATTAAATATAGCATCTGAGTCACCCTTCATGACTAAAAGGGCTTCAATTCAACCTTCACTACTATAAGAGCTATAATAATGGTGAAACTGTCTGTATTCTTGGTACCAATGATTAATTCCTATGAAGGGATAGGAACAACAGAACTGAACTGACACTGTAGTTGTTAGTTAAGGTTAAAGCTTAAGGTTAGAAAGATTAAAAGCTTCCTATGTAAAGGCAAAAAAATAAATAAATTAATTAATTAAATAAAATAAAATAATTGCACCCCCATTATCTGTCAGGTCACATGAGTACTTTTCACCTCCAGGTTGGGTATGAGCAAGAATACCAGCTCCATTAAATGTGTGACCTTGAACATGCTACTAAATCTCTCTGCATCTGTAAAATGGGGCCAATAATACTCACCACATGGGGTGTAAGGTTTCAGTTAAGTGTTACAAAGTCCCTAAGTGCCCAGCCCCTGGCCAGTGCTCTTGGTGAGACTGCGCCTCCTCTAGTTGCAAGCACATATGCCACCTGCTGTCCCTCAGCCATGACACTGCCTACTGCAGACAGCAAAGGCAGCCCAGAGTCTTGATGGTCCTAATACACCACATGCTTTCCTCACCTCAATACCCCATGCATTACCACTAATGCTGCCTAAGCCCCCATCCTGAGTGGTAGGCGATAGTTAGCCGATGACTTGTCTTCCCCTAAAACATCAGGCCAGTGAGACTTACATCCCCATTTACCTTGGTCACCATGAGAAAACGAAGCTGGTCTGTTAACAAAGGGCCTTATTCCCCACAGACCTCTATAGTATCGCCAATTGAATCCCATTTCTCACCCTTCCCTGACCACCCTAACCCTCAGTCTGCAAAATTCCTCATGTCCTCAAGCTCTTCTATGAACTTGCCCTCTACCTTTTTGCTCTAACTCGAACTCATCTCTCTCCTGAAGAAATGGCTCTTCTTGTGCTCTCCCAAGCATGGCTTTCTTCTTCCACTCTCCTCTATTCCTGGGTCAGGAAGTGGAGTAAAGTGTTTTCTTAGCTCATCACTGCTGCTTTCAAATTATTTTTTCTTCCTCAATAAGACCAACTCCTGCAAAGGGCATATCAAACTAAACCTACTGCTTCCCATTGATGTCTTCCACAATATTCCTGATCACTCCCTTTTATTTATTAAAGATTTAAGCACCCAGCTCACTCCTCTCTATTACTACTCTCATGACAATAAGCAAATTCCAAATCCATGCAGGTAATCCTTCCAACACTTTGGCCTCATTTCTGATGATCTCATCTTTCACCCTACTTTAGACACTAATTTCCACAGATACACCTTAGACCCTGCTATGAGTAATAAATGAACCGTCTCCACCACATCAATCTCAAGTACCCTACTCCTGGACACCCCCTTTCATCTTACCCACTTGCCTTTTCTGGTGCCCCAACTCCAGCAATGCATTAGCCTCATGGGCCTTAGCACTGTTTCTCTACTATCCGGTCCCATCTTCATTTCCCTATGTACCCAGATTGGGTTCCATAGACCATCATGAGAATCAGTCTCTGGAATACATCTTAATTCTTGCCTATCTCCCACTCCACAGTTACTTGGGTATGTGTAAAAGGCATGAAATGTGCCTAGAACTCTAACCTTGGTTAAACATTCTTCCTACTCTTTATTTGTACCAGAGGCAGAATTAAACCCAGGGTAGCTCCTATCTACTTTGCAGTTTTTAGGGGCTGGAATTGTCTATTAGAGTGGGAGCATGCAGAAACTTGGAGTCCAAGTGAAGGAGTTAGGATTTTATTCCATAGGCAATGGGGAGCCTCTAAAAGTTGCAAGCAGGAGAACACAGTGGGCAACTCCTACTCATTCAAGTCTCATGTAAGGCACTGCTTTCCCAATCCTCCTGGCTTCTTCCCCATCTGGAACAAGTACCTCTCTCTGCTTACTTCTGTTTTGGTGCTTATCATATTCTATCTTATCATAACTACTTACTGGTCTGCCTCTCCCACTAAACCTCATCTTTTTCAATACAAGGACTATGCCTTTCCATCATTGTATCTTCGGCTGATAGCTGGGCTGGAGCAATTCGAAACACTTCATCCCCATTTAGTGAAGGTAGTTATGCAGGCAATTACCTAACCATAAATACAGTGCATGGTGTAAATGAAAATTAGTGAAGAATTAGTTTAGCTTGGCCCATTCAGGAAATCCTTCCTAAAGGAAGTAAGATTGAAGGATGAGTGAGTTTCCATTGTAGAGAAAAGGGCTATCAAGACATTTTAGGCTAAAGGAACAGCATAGACACAGGCATGGAGGTGTGCCGTTCCATTGTATTTTCAGATTGGAGCAGCTAGAGTAAAAATTGAGTTGAGCAGAAGAAAGAAAGCCATTATTCTTCCCAGGAGCCTTCAAAGGTTTAGGGACTTCAAAGCCTTCTTTCAATGAAGTAATGAAGAATCTCAATTGCCTTTTCAAGGCAATAAGAGAGGAGGAAATATTTTGGTGTAGGGAACCCTTCGGTGGATTTCAGATCATATCACCTTGCACTTTCTTGTCTGCATGTGCCTACACTCCTTGTCATGAAGGCCTTTCTGTCCATCCATCACCAATTACAGAGCCATTAGAACTTTCATCTAAGAATTCCAATAGTACATTAACATCAACACAATCATCTTCCTAGCATCAACATGAAAATTTGTGTGTTAGCAGCCTCTCTATAAAATCTCTTCCATCCATTTCTTTCCCTGCACAAGACCCCAGTCTTCATGTCTTCCTCTTTCTTTGAAACATTGCTTGGATTCTCTGAGATTTAGTTTCAGCACCAATTTAGGTCTACAATCCTTACAAAATCCTCTGACCAAGTATACTTTGGAATTCAAATTTTTTCCAGTTTTAGAAAGGTAATATATTACAAATTCTGTATACGTAAATCCTAGTGTGGTCTGAGACAGCATGCTGTGATCAAACATGTTACCATTTCTATAGTAAAACATATTAATGTTCATATAATGCAAGATAAATAAAGACCATAAATTGTCTCATGTTGGTTCAGGCAGGCTTTTGAAACCAAAAATGTTATGAAAAATTAGTGGGTTTCAGAGCTTATTGGATTTTGGAATTGTGGGTAACGAGATCATGAACTTTTCCCTAACCACTTCCTCACATTTTCTTAAGAAGGAAGAAGAAAAAGCAAAACAATTATTCAGCTCCAGGCATAATCAATGGTAGCTGGACTGATAGTTATTCCCTGGTTCAGCATGTTGTCTTCTGCTACTTAGATTTTTGCAATCATTTTCTAACTGGTAACCCAGCCTCACACAAAAATGTTGCAGGGATCTGATGGCTCTAAAATACAATTCCAGTCTAAAATGTCACTCCATTTAAAAAAATAATATAGTGTTTCACAAGTATCTATCAGTTAAAGTGCTAATTCCTTCACCTCCTTGATCTGGTCCCAAACCGCCACCACACAGCTTTATGTTGCAGTCACGTAGAACTCCTGGGCTCCCTCTAGTGTGGGCCTTGTTTTCCTGCATCCCATCACAGCCCATGCTTCACCTGCCATCTGGCATGTCCAGAATGTCATAGCACGAAATCTACTGTCCAAATTTTACTCATTCTTCTAGGCACAGCTTACATGCTTCCACCATCAATGGCCCCTTCAAAGCTTAACCTCTTTCTCCTCAGACCTCTTCTGGCAATTGTTCTTAATCCTGGCTGTGCATGGGAATATCCTGGGGACTCCTGAGCCTGCCCCACTGAAATAGAAGCTCCGAGGAGTCCATATTTTATAAATAACCTTGAGTGCTTACTGTGAGGCCAGCTCAGCACCTGGTCCAAGGAACGGATTTGAAAACATGTCTTACAGCACTTCATCTGCAAATCTCTTTTGGTCTTATGCCCTTTGCCACTTTCCATATCCTACTACAATTATTCAAGTAGATGCTTCATCTGCCCTATATTCCATGAACTCCTTGAGGTCAGGTAGAAATACATGCTCACCTTTGTGGAGCCTACAGTTTCAAGCATGAAAATTTGCTCCTAGTAATACTCAATAAGTATTTACCAAACTAACAGCAAATGAAATGAGTGAATATATTTCTGGAGTAATAACCTCCTGAGGGGATGATCTTTTAAAAGGCTTTCTTTGAGAACTACAAATTAATTTCATGCCAATGATGCATCTAAAGCGCAGGTTCAGGTCAGATGCAGTGGCTCATGCCTGTAATCCCAGCACATTGGGAAGTTGAGGTGAGCAGATCACTGGAGGTCAGGAGTTCAAGACCAGCCTGGCCAACATGGTGAAACCTCATCTCTACTAAAAATACAAAACAAAAATTAGCTGGGCATGACGGTACATGCATGTAGTCCCAGCTACTCGGGAGGCTGAGTGGGGAGGATGGCTTGAACCCAGGAGGCAGAGGTTGCAGTGAGCCGAGATGGCACCACTACACTTCAACCTGAGTGACAGAGTGAGACTCCATCTCAATAAATAAATAAATAAATACATAAATAAATAAATAAAGTGCAGGTTCAATCACGCCACTCCTCTGCTTAAAATCTTTCAATGGCTCCTTGTTACCTTATTGGTAAATCATACATTCCTTAGCCAAACACATAAGGTCTTCTCTGATCTTTTCCTGTCTACAGCTCCAGCTTCATTTCCCACCACTTCCTGCCTCTAACTCACCCCTGCAGTAAAACTGAACTTGCCTCTGTGCATCTGCTGTTGCCCCTGCCCGGAATGCCCTTCCTGCTTTTCTTTGCCTGGCTAAATGTATTCATCTTTTGAGATTTTTTAGCTGAGTTACCAATCCCTCCGAGCAGCTTTTTCCAGTTCTTAGGTTGGGCCAACTGTCTGTACTTGCTCCATTTTAGTACCTTCTGCTTCCCTCTGTCTTTCCACTTATCTAATTTTGTTGATTAAAGTGATTTACATACGTGTCTGCTTTACCACACCCCACTCGCACATGTAGATCAGATTTTCTTTTCACTTGTGCTTCTGTCACTGTGTCTAGGCACACAGAGAGTAGATGGACGATACGTGTCCTTTTGAATTAAACTGAGAAGATTAGAAAGCATTTGTTGTATATTTGTGGGTAGGGTAACTGGGGAAAAATTGGGAGTAATTCTTGATAAAAGAAAATGAAAGGTGCTTATTATGTTAATGCATTTCCAGGCACTGCACATAGCAGCTTGTGTATGTTGTCGTGTATGTTGTCTCAATTACCATAATCCTTACAACTGGCTTCTGAGCTGTGCCCCCTGAAGATGACAAAAGTCAGGATCAGAGCTTTCTGAAGCTTACCAGGACACATAGCAAATGGGTGCTAAGCCAAGATCTGAACCCAGCCCTGACACCAAAGCCTGTTGATATGGTTTGGCTGTGTCCTCACCAAAATCTCATCTTGAATTCCCACATGTTGTGGGAGGTACCCAGTGGGAGGTAATTGAATCACGGGGGCAAATCTTTCCTGTGCTGCTCTCATGATAGTGAATAAGTCTCAAGAGATCTGATGGTTTTATAAAGGTGTGCTCCCCTGCATAAATTCTCTCTCTCTTTGCCTGCTGCCATCCATGTAAGATGTGACTTGCTCCTCCTTGCCTTCTGCCATGATTGTGAGGCCTCCCCAGCCATATGGAACTGTAAGTCCATTAAACCCCTTTTGCTGTATAAATTACCCAGTCTTTATCAGCATGTCTTTATCAGCAGCATGAAAATGGACTAATACATCTGTGGTGTTTTAAAATCAACTCTATGCTATACGACATGCCTTTTCCTTAATAACAGTGTTTCCTCTCATCTTTTCCAGACTCATCCAACAATTATTTGTTGTATTCCTATTACAGGTAACATAAATGCATGAGGCAGACACAGGCCTTGCTGTCCTGGGGTTCACAGTCTCATGGAAAAGATGGACACATAAACAGACGATGACAACACCTTGAGGTCCCTGCTGTGATGGAGCAGCACCAGAGGCAGGACAGGGAACACCTAACCAGACTGGGGACAGAGAGAACTTTCCAGAGAAAGTGAGACAGACATAAAGAACAAATAGGAACTTGGCTGTCAAAAGGGGGAATGAGATTATATTAGGTTGGTGCAAAGTAATTGTGGTTTTTGCCATTGAAAGTAATGGTAGAGGAGATGGCATTTCAAAGACCTGAACCTGAGAGAGTCTGGCATGTGTGGGTTTCTGGAGTGGGGAGTGTGGCTGAAATGTGAGATGAGAAGGAGAAATAGGGCTAGGGTGGCCCCTTGAAAGGTCTCACAGGCCACTAGAAACAAACTTAACAACACAAATTTACATATTTATGGTTCAAAATTCCTTCACAGAATATACTGGGAGATCATGAATATCAAAATGATATTTTGCAACCTTCAAATCCCCTCACTCAAGGCACAGGCCTATAGAGAACCCCCAAAGCAAAGTGAAAAACAAAGGGAGATAACTATTCATTGCAAACAAATGGGGTTTATGATGTCTTTTAGGAAATCAGCCAAAACCAAAAAATGCTATGGGTTGATATTGCTTCGATACTAAAACTTAAGCAACATTTAACTGCATTTTGTGGTGAGGGTAAGGGTTTCAGAGGAAAAATTGGGCCATATATACCCTCAGGTGCCAAGTTCAAAATATAGCTTTCAGCAAAAGGCTCAAGTTTAACTTAGTTGGCAGCCTGGGGATCACGGCCTGAAGTCAGAATTTATGATCTCTGCAAACATGCCAAGTCCTCCAACAACCCAATTACAGCCCATCCCTGATTACATGCCCCACACTCACTCAGCATTGCAACTTGGGCCTAGAACAGGAGGCTTCACTAGAAACTGCCTGCCAGGGAGCTGGAAAAACCGACCACAGAGCGTCCTTATTTGAAAGGGTTTCCTGCTCTCCCTGCTGCCCTCTCCTGCTGCAGACAGAACAGTCACTCAGTGTCTTTTAGGTTTATGACAGTTTTATTTAAAGTGCAATTTAATGAAAACTGAAAAAAGAAGGGTTGAATAACCTCTGTGAGCCACTTTATTGCTTTTACTCCACAGCTATGATGTAAACTCCTCAGCCGATGTGGCCATTTTAATTTCTTAGATTTGTTTTCTATATTAGAGTCCCAGCTGCATGAAGAAACAGTAAAAGAAATCAGAGACACCATTCTAAATGCATCTGGGGCAGGTTTTACAGGTGTTAGATGTTTTTGCTTTTTAAAGAAGATAAAGGAGCCCCTGTCTGGTTTTCTGTCTATTCAGGACCCTATTTTTCCAATACTAGCAATGGAAGTCATTTTTAAGATCTGGAGTGCCAATCATTATCATCATGCTCATCATTATTGCCTCTGCTACTTCTATGTCACCCATTACCACACCCCACTAATTACTGAGCTTGCACCACTGCAGTAGATGCAGTGCATCTCCACTTCAGAGATAGAACCTCAGATTCTTCTAACAACCCAGCAAGATTGGTAAGCGTTGGAATTCCCGTTTTATAGATAAAGAAACTGAGGCTTGGAGAGAAAGTAAGTTTGGCTTAGGGATTGAAAACTATGCTCTGGACTTTGGAATCAGATATCTGTGTTTGGATCCCTGCCCTTTCATTTTCAGCTAGATGATTTTAACTTTCATTCCCATCAATAAAATGGCAACAATAATAGTATTTACTGTATTGCCAATTAATTCAGACAATCCAAGTTAAGTGTGAATCACAGTACTTGGTAAATAGTATATTTTCTAGAAATGTGAGCTACTTATGATTATTATTGCCATCATTATTATTACTGGTGTTGTCAAAGTTTGCATTGTTGTCAAGAGGTAAGTTTGGATTTAACAATGAGGTCAGATTCCAATACTCAAGATTGTTTTACTATACCACACTGGGTTAGGCCCTTTTCATACATTATTTTGTTTACTCTGCCACTATACAGCATTAGAGAAGTGATGAACTCCATTTTACAGATGAAGAAATTAAAGCTGGAGGGTTCAAGTCAACTTACTTGACTAAGACCAAAGAGCTAGTAAATAGCAGAACTAGACCCACTGACCTTGATCCCCTAGCTCTTTCTAGTATACTCCTACAGCCTCAATTCTTGGCTGCAAGCAGTCAAGAAATGCAACTAAAGGGTGTTTGAAAGACCCTTTATCTGGGACAAAATGTTTTCAGCCAAAATTGATGCTTGACAGCCTTTCTGCTTTCTAAATATGTATTCTTCTAATCCACTCAGTAAACCTCAGGATCTTCTTTACTCCAAGAACTTACAAAGCCAGACCTTCTTGTGAGAAAGGTTTACAGCAGCAATTAGTTACACACCAATACCTGACAAAGACTCCTGGCACCAGCTCCCAATTTCCTTCACCTTGGGAGGTTGCCAGCTGTGAGGGGCCAGCAACACATTCTGCAGCCTAGCTGGTTTCTTAGGAAAGAAGCATCCTTGGCCCTTTGGAGGAAACCATGCACTGCTAGCTTTAAAGAGAAACTGTGTACTGTATGCTGTAATAGAAAAGCATTAACTAGGAGAGCACTGAGTAGATCTGTATTCTAAGGTCACGTTATATCTCATCCCCATCTGTGAAATGGATATGCTGGTTTACAGCAGAGATTTCACTAATGATCCTTGCATGGAGAGAAAGCCGAATGATGGTAATCTTTGTCTAGACTTCCTGCCTGCCTTCTTCATTCATTAGCTTAATCAATAAATATTAATCCTCTATATTAGATGTGAACCCAAGCTACCAAGTTGTGCATCTATTATGTTGTTACACACACACATACACATATATAGATATAAATATAGCATACAATAGTTCTACATCACTATTCACATTGTGATCACAGAGACCATTCACATTGGCCACCATGTGAACAGCACCTATTGGAGTTGTGCAACTCAGTGGCCCCACTGCAGACTTCAGTGGTGACAGTGGTGAACAAATGTTCTCTGCTCTCACAGAACTTCTAGGCAAATGGGTAACTTTAAAGGTCTACAGAGATCATTCGTTCAATTACTAGTTCAGTGCCAACTATGTACAAGGTATTCTTCTAGACATGTGAAAATGCACTGTAAATTGTAAAACATAATACAAGTATATTATTAACAGCTATTTTCCTCTTCTCTCTCCCTCTGAATTTTTTTTTCTCTACATCCAGTCTTACCTCTTCTAGTTCATCCACTTCACTAGATTTGCTCTTCCTTTATTCCCTCTTGGGTTTCCTAACATAGTGACCAGAGCAGAGAAGACACTGTGAATATTTGCTGAAGGAATGAATGCCTCCATGCTTTTGCACACATGTCACTCTCTTTCCAGAATGCTCTTACCCATGTTTATTGTCTGAAAAATATTTGTTTTACTTGACTCAACCCAGCTGCAAGTCCCCAAGGAAACTTTCCATCAGGGATGCAGTGAGGGGTGGCCACTCCCTGTGCTCCTAGAGCTCCTGTCCCTGCTCCATTGCAGTGTTTATTACACTCTAATTGTTTTTTTACATTTTTTCCCCTTCCTCCCTAGACTAGGAGCAACTTCAAGTGCAGCAATAGGGTTAAGAACATGGGCTTTGGATTTAAAAGTCTTAAGGTGAAATCCTACCTCTCCGAATTCTGACTCTTTCACCTTTACAAAGCTATTTCACTTCTCTCTTTTCCTACCTCCTGATCAGTGAAGTGGGGATACAGCTTTTCACATCCTAGGAATGCCATAGACATTAACCTTGGCCTGGTGCCTGACACAAAGCAAACCCACGATAATGATATTTTGTTGAAGATAGTTGTGATATGGATAAAGAGAGAGGAGAGAAAGAAGGAGGAGGAAGGGGAGAAGGAAGAGAAAGAGGAGGGGGAAGAGGGAAAGAAGGAAGAAGAGGAAGACAGTGATTATCATGATGATCATGGTGATTTTTAGTGATGAAATGACTGTGGCAGAGTACATGTTCAGTAAATATGTTCAGAATTAATCAACCTGATGGTTTCAGATGGAAAAATTGTATCAGTTCTGTTAGGTGGCATTTTAGTTTCCAGTAATAGAAATGCTCCAATTTTGCCTCCTTCTTCTGCACTCACGGACATGAACTCATTCCATGAAGTTTTCTTGGAGTTTTCACTCCAGTCTGTACCCCTTGGCTCTAGTCATTCTGTGAAACTACCCTATGAAGTACCCTCTTCCCCTCACTCCCCTGTTTCCCACCGAGGCAGCTAACAATGCTAGTACAGAACAAGGGGCATGGGACCCACTCTGTAAACATTTAGTTCTGCTCTGTTTAGACTTAGACTCAATTCACACACCCATTTTCCACTCCCTCCCAGAGGCTACCTTTTTCTCTCAGCAAAATCTGAAAGATATCAAAGAGAATTTTAGCAAGATTTTTCTTTAAATAAAGGGCTAAGGAAACCAAATGGAGATGGCCTTGAGTTGGTCATATGGGCACTGGGTCAGACTTTGTTACTTAGCTGAGAGATGCCAGTTTCATGTAAAGAGCCAGAATAATTGAAGGGCAAAATGCATCAGGCACTGCTGCCTGGAACGCACAGCTTAATGGAACTTTAACAGAGATTTTTCTTTGGGTTAATTAACAAGAGGAAATAATAAGACTCTAATGTCAGGTGATGTTGTCATTTTTCTGATTTTTTGGAAGGGAGTTGTATTTGGAATACATTGCCCCTTTCCACGATCCTTCACATCCTCTGTGTTTCTCTATCACTGTATTTACCATCTTTTATTATCAATATCTGTTTACTTTTCTGTTTCTCAGTAGATGGTGAACTCCTTCAGTGGATATCATCATCATCAACAGCAACAGCAGCAAGAGCTAACACTCACTGAGCGCAGGTATGCACCGGGCATGATTCTAAATGTTCTCTATATATTAAATCATAGATGCTCTAGGGGAGGGACCGTCATCAGGCAGGTAGAATCAGAGAGGTCAAATAACTTGCCAAAGTTCACACAGCCAAAAAGTGGTAGCACTGGGATTCAAACCCAGAAGCTGAAGGTTTAAAGCACACATTCTATACGAGTTTCTCTCTCTCAGAAACTCTAGAATAGTGGTATTGTAACCAAGAAATTTAGCTTCAAAATGCATTTTAAAAGTTTTTCCTTTCTTGCTTTCAGCCTTGAAACACACTTTAAAACTTTCTTTCCCTCCCTTCCCACCTGACACTCCCTTGCACTGCCAGCTTATCTAATTATGTGCTTACTTAGAAATTCCAGGGGCTAATCTTGAAACAAACCAGCCCATGGCGACCCAGCTGTGAAATTCCAGAGATTACCTCCAGGCAGTTTGTCAACAACCCAGCCATTGTTGAGATGATGCCAGCCCTTGCTCCAGGTGGACCATGACTCAAGACAGTCACTGGAACAAGACAGGGTTGTCACAGCAAGTACCACAGACTATGTGGCTCAAACAAGAGAAATGTATTGCCTTACACAGGCATGAGTGGCAAAGACCAAAGTCACCCAGAGGTCTTGAGACTCCCAATCCAATGCTATTTCGTCCAAACCACAACTTGGAGAAAAGGTTGTTGTAATGGACCAAACAAACAAACAAACAAACAAACAAAAACAGCAGCAACATACACTTTTGGATGATTTTTTTAAAAGGGTGTGGAAGGTGGTTCTTCCCTGTTAATCTTTTAAAAGTTTAAGTGATAATGCTGCTTTGTTTTTCTACATCGACTTTTCAGTTGTTAAAAACCTTTCCTAACCATTTTTTTTTCCTTTTTCTTTCTTGCCTAAGATCACACTCTGGTCTTTGAGGTAAGCCATTGGCTAATTCATCAAAAGTGGAGGGTAGAGGGCTCAGAAAGTGGTTTGAATTCTGATGTCAGCTCTGCTACAAATTTTGGATTGGAGAATTTTGATTATATCAACAACTATGAATATTAGTCTAGGATTTTATCCTTTTCATAGTACTTTCAAATACATTATTCTATATAATTTTGTAGACAAGTAGTTATTATTAGACACACTTAGAGATGGGAAATCTGAAACTCACAGAAGATAAGTGATTTGCTCAAGGTCATATTTCAAGTAGATGACAGACCTAGACTCAAATTCAGGTTTCCAGTTTAAAGATTTTTTTAAAAACCTCTGTCCTATATGCCATTCACCATGACTATGGTAAAAAGAACCAAACTAACGGTTAGGAATGGGGACTCTGGAGTTAGACACAGTTTGAATTTGAATACTGATTCTACTCTGTCTGTAAAATGGGGAAGATGATTAACAGTAACAATACCATGAAGAGTAATAAGTAAAACCACCACTTTTTCCAGTATTATGATACAAAATTGCTTAATTATTATTTCTGAAGCACTTTATTTGTAACTTCTCTGTATTTAATAGGTCCTAACAAAATGTTTCATTATTTTGATTAATCTTTAAAAATCTCCCCAGGGGCTTGTTATTTCAGGTTTTACAGATGTGAAAAGCTAAAACCCAGAAGTCAGTGATCAGGGAGGAACACTGACCATGGTCGCAGGATCATTTCTGTCCGTTTTCCATGCTGAGGGGCAATAAACACTTCTCAGATTTCTTCTCTTGGGAAAGGTCAAAATAACAACATGATATAAAACACTTCCCAGGTTGATGGGGGAAGAGTAGTGCACACAGTTATTTACATAAATTCTCTCATTTTATTTGCTGATACGGTTCACTTATTAGTTGCTAGGATTGTCACAGCAAGTACCACAGACTATGTGGCTTCAACAAGAGAAATGTATTGCCTTACAGTTCTAGAGGCAAAAGTCCAAGATCAAGATGCTAGCAGGGTTGGTTCTTTTCTGAGGGTTGTTGGGGAAGGATCTGTACCAGACCTCTCTCCTTGGCTTGTAGATGGCTGTCTTCATGTTCACATGGTGTCTTCCCTGTATCTTCACATTGTCTCACCACTGTGCATCTCTCCAGGCTCAAATTCCCCCATTTTATAAGGACATCAGTCATACTGGATTAACCCTACTCATGAACTCACTTTAACTTGATGTATTAGTCCGTTCTTACGCTGCTAATAAAGACATACCTGAGACTGGGTAATTTATAAAGAAAAAGAGGCTTAATGGACTCCCAGTTCCACATGGCTGGGGAAGCCTCACAATCATGGTAGAAGGCAAAGGAGGAAGGGAAAAGGCATGTCCTACATGGCAGCAGGTAAGAGAGTGTGTGCAGGGAAACTGCCTTTTATAAAACCATCAGCTCTCATGAGACTTATTCACTATCACGAGAACATCACAGGAAAAACCCACCCCCATGATTCAATTACCTCCTGCCAGGTCCCTCCCATGAAACATGAGGATTATGGGAGCTACAGTTCAAGATGAAATTTGGGTGGGAACACAGCCAAAATATATCACTTGATCTCCTCTGTAAAGAACCTGTCTTCAAATAAGGTCACATTCTGAGGTGCTGGGGGTTAGGACTTCAACATGAGTTTGGGAGGGGTGGGTGACACAATTTGACCCATAAGAGTCCACCTGTTATTACTATAAGTTATTGTTTGTAGAATTAACTGCACTTTGAGTTCATGGAGCTGTTCTAAGCTCTTTAAACATATTAATTTATTCAAACCTTGGTTGAATGTTAAGATATAGGTACTATTTTTTCCTTTATAAATGAGATAACTGGGACACAGACAAATTAATTAACTTGCTCAACACTGAACAACTAGTAAACAGTGGAGCCAGAAATGTAAACCAGTCATGCTGGCTCAGAGTCTGTGCTCTTAAGCACCAGGATTTTCTGCCTCTGTGAGCAAGAAAAAATCCTTGCTCTCTGGGATCTCACAGTCTAGACCTGGGTCTGATCAAAGGGCCTAGGGTCTCTTGCAAGGCAGGGAAAGACCAACTGTGGCCAAGGGGTAGGGAAGGTTTCTCAAGGAGGTGTTGTCTGAGCTGAGTCATAAATGAAGTGATGTTCAGCACTCTGAAGAAGAGAATGTGCATGGAGATGCAGCAGGCTAGGAAACTGGAACATGAGGGATGTGGTGCGGGTGAGGAGGCTCGAGTTAGAGTATACAGGGCAGGCACCAGAGTGCCTCGGCTTTATCATCCAGGCCACAGAGCTTGGGCTGTACTCTGTGGGCAATGGGGAACAACTGGAGAAAATCTGGCAGTAGACTGACATGATCAGATTTTCCTTTTAGGACCATTTCTCCCCAGGGGAAATGTGGGTGTGTGGTTTGGAGAAGGGAAGATTTGACTCAATGGGAAAGTAATGCCAGGCTAAATGCTGAAGTCAGCATTGCTGCATAAGGCTGGCTGAAAAGGACATCAGCCCTCCAGTAGTACAGGTCACTTAATGTGTCACTGTCAAGGACTAAACAACACAATTCAAGAGGACTCTGAGGTGCAGCATCTCAGCAAAGATGAACAGGATGTGCCCAGTCTTTTGGACTTGTGACTAATTGTGTGATCTTTCCTTTTCTCCTTCTCAGAAATTCTCCCAGAACTCACAAAAAGCCTCACCCTAAATTATCTGAACTTAACCCAGGCCCAGTCTACTCTCCCAAGAACAAGCTAGTTAAGAGCAGACCATCCTTATAGTACAGATCCTCTCAGCAGGTCCACTTGTGTAGATGTTACCCTATCTTGTGACTTATTCCTTAAAAATGGAATTATTCATGAAAAACCCTCCAAAATTGCTCTTGAAGCCTACATGGGGTTTCACAGACATTTAGACCTGGGTTCTGTCAAAAATAAGCCAGGCGTGACCTTGGGAACATACTGCCATCCCAGAATGTCAGAGCATGACAAGACCTCAGTGATATTTAGTTGGACCTCCCATCTTAGAGGTGAAGCCTCTCAGTGGCTCTCTTGGCTTACAGGATAAAGTATATATGGCATTGAAGGCCTTTCAATATCCAGATCCTATTTGCTTATTGGGATTCCACTCTGGATACTCTTTTTTTAAACTTTCTGCTCTAGTAGCACCTTGCTGCCAACTATCCCCAACTATCACCCTGCCATATTACCCATCTCTGCTGCTCCGCCCATGCTCTCCCTTCTGCCTTCTCCCCCTCCTTCACTCGAGCGTTCCCTGATGAAATGCCACTTCCTCCTCCTCTGACATTCAGCTAAGACACCAGCTTCTCTAAGGAGCCCAGGATGAACCCCACCCCTTGTCAAGCATCCATACTCAGTGCTTCCATCAAAGCTTGTGCCTTCCTCCATCAATCTACTTTTCATCAAATATGAAAATTGTCTGTTTCCTTGACACTCTTCCCGGCAAAGCTGAACAACTAGATGGCATCTAGGATAGGGCCCTTCTCAGAAATTCCAAGATAGGGCCTGAGAGTAGAGTCTACTGAGGAGATCTGACTCTGAGTTTACCCTCAAATTGAACAAGAACATTCATGGAGCAGCCACTGTAAATGGGGCACACTGGATAAGTCGTTATGAAGTGTGTTGGCATTTTCTGCCTCTGTGGCTCAAATTTCCCTGTAAAATGGGAGTTTCCAGACTGGTTGGTATTTGAGAACTCTCCCACCTCCTATATTTTATAATTCCATGACTTGTGCAAATCACTTATAAGAGGCAAAAGTAAACTTAAGTATACTTCAACTACAACTCCAATGCTCATTCATCAAAAATTCAAGCACCATTTTGTAAGCTCCCTGACTGGCCAGCTCTCCCAGCTCAAAAATGCTACAATTATCCCTTGCAATGACTGTATAACTAAGTGAAAACCTACCTGGCTGAGGGCATGCACTAGGCTATACCTCTGATTTAGGAAAAGAAAAACCCATCAACCTTTTTGGGTGTCTAAACTATACAATAAAACAAAATTCTATAGGGTTCACTTTAACCTTATGTCTATGGGAAGAGAATGACTTTTTAAATAACTACACAGAAAGAAGGATATATATAATTGTCCTGATATCTGTTAATGAAAACAAACCACCCCAAAACTGAGTGGCCTAAAACAAAAAGCATTTTTCTATATTTCACAATTTTGTGGGATAGGAATTTGGACGAGGCTCAGCTGAGTTCTCCCTCTGTTCCACAGGGTGTTGGTAAAAGTCATTTGGCTGCATCTCACCAGTGGCTGGTCTAGTCTGGAGGGTACTGATTTTAGTCTTGCAGGAATGGCTAGAAGGCTAGGCTTAGCTGTAACTGTCAAGCAGAATGTCTACATCACGTGTCTCTAGCCAGAAAGTATTGGGGTAGAGATTACTCACATGGGAGCTCAGGGCTGCAAGAGTAAGTGTTCTCATAAATGAGGTAGATGGGGTATGACCTTTTATGACACAGTCTCTGAAAGCACAGAGTGTCACATGTACCACACTGTATTGGTCAGAGTAGTCATGATTTCAACCAAGGGATGGGAACATGGGCACCACCTCTTCATGGGAAGATGTCAGAGAATGTGAGGCCAAGTTTTAAAATCCCCCATATAACACATACTAAACATCTACTACACACCCAGTGCTATTCTAGATAATGTAGATATATTATCAAGATGATACCTCCTGCCTGGGCCTCTTCCTTGAACTCTAAACCCACCTATGTAGACCCCCTAAACATATTACGTCTAAAACCAATTCCTAATCTGCTTTCAAACCTGCTCTGTGTTAAGTCATCTTGGTAAACCTTGATTCCACTCTTCCAGATGTTCCAGCTTTACAAGTTGGAGTCATCAACAATTTTCTTTTTTTTTTTTTTGTCTAATCCATTAGTAAATCCTGCTGACCCTACCTTTAATCTATTTCCAGCATCTGACCACTTCTAGCCACTTCATTGCTAAGACTGGTCTGAGCCACCAACCTCTCTTGCTTGGATTACTGCAATAATCTCCTACCTGGTCAGCCAGCTTCTGCACTTTCTGTCCCTAGTATCTATTTTCAAAACAGTAGTCAGATGATCCTTTTAAAATGTAAGCTGGATTGCGTCATTGCCTGGTCCACAATGCCCAGGTGGCTCTCCATTTCGCTCAGAGGAAATGCTTGAGTTTCAACAATGGCCTCCAGGGCCCTATATCATCTGACCCCACTCTCTGAACACTCCTTCACTTCCTCCAGCTCCAGTCATTCCTTGAAACACCCACGACCTTCTGCCTCAGGGCGTTTATATCTGCTGTTACTTCTCTGTAGAATGTTCTTCTCTAAGATATCCACACAGCCCATTAATTCCTATACCTTTTCCAAGTTTCTGCTCAAATGCCACCTTCCATTGACACCTTTCTTGAAATGGTCTCATTGAAAATAGCAGTCCCTCTTCCTGCCTGACCATCCTTATACCCTTCCCTGCTTTGTGTATCTACATTGCAGTTACTGCCATTTGACCCATATATAGATTTTTTTGTCTTCTCTCACTAGAATATGAGGTTTAGGAAGGCAGGTATCTTCAACCGTTTGGTTCACTGCTGCATCTGCAGCACCAAAGCAGGACCTGACCACACAAACCATGTCCTCAATAAATATATATTGAATAAATGAATATTTTGTTAATTTTAAAAAATGAAACCAATCCTTCTTTCAAGATGAGAAACCACTCTTATTTCTCTCTTGATTTTTTTCTCTCTCTGAGCAGTGAAAGTTATATAATCATATTAGCTTATCCCATAAAAATGTGATTAGCTAACAAACATGCTCTTTTGTACATTTTTGTCTAATTTGCCTAACATTCTTCCTGCTGTCCTATTGTAATCCTTGCTAGCGATGCTTGGCTTATAGTTGGCACTGACACATGTAAGCTCATGTCCCAGCTCTGCTGCCAGTGGTATGATACTGAGCAAGTGATAACATTGTCAGTTACCTCATCTACAATAAATGGGGCAATGGCATAGACCACACTGTATTGTCATCAGATAAACTGAAATAATGGATGCCAGTGCGGATCCTGGCCCATCAGAGATGGGGAAAATGTAAGTCAGTTTCCTTTTCTTACAAGCACGCTAAATCTATTCAGCCTGGCACTTTCCCGTCAAGGAGGAGTTTCTTAAAAATTGCTAAGTGGTATGGTCGAGGTGGGGGTGGCGGGGAGAACTCAGAGGAGGGAGATGAAGTCATACCAACATGCCCCTGCTCACCCCTTTCCAAAACTCAGCTATTTGGACTGGAGTGATTTGCCACAGAGAGAAACATGCCCTTTGCCCTGAGACAAAGGGGAGCTTTTCCTGACCAGCAAAAGCTAAAATGGATCCTCTGCCCTGATTTAAAACCAAACTTGTGGGTGAGAAGCCACATGATTCATGGGAGAAAATGACTTGACTCCAAATATATAATAAAAAGTATGGAAGCAACACACACACACACACACACACACACACACACACACACACACACATGCACACGCACATCAAAAGAAACTGACTTACTGAAGACGGAAATAGAGGAGAGTGGAGAATTGGAGAAGGAAAAAGGAAGATGTGGTCAGTCAGGCAAGACGTCTCCAACTGTGCCAACAGCACTCAGCCATCCAAGGGGCAGGGAATGCTGGCGTAGGGCAGGATACTTTTCCATACATCTCTATTTATACAAGCACCTCTGATAGTCTCACAAAGTAGTTATTGTACCAGTAATTCTCTTTCATGAGTGAGGGACCCAGGGCTCAGGATGACGGACACACTTGCCCCAGGCCACACAGTTAACAAGGAGCAGAACCCGGTCTAGAGCCACAAGCCACAAAAGAGCAATGCACAGCCGGCTTCCTAGCACCAAGCACTGCTCTCTGACCAGGAGGCCCGCTAATCACTGCAGAGGCCAGATACAGTCCACAAGGGCAAGTAAACACAGAGAGAAGCCAGCGGGCGCTTCAACGGAGGATCTGGGAATAGGTCAGGAGTCCAGCTGGCTGGGTAGAGCTAGGCCACATGCTGTCATTCCTCAGCACCTCCTGTCCCCTCACACTCCAGGTGGCACAGGACATGGCACACTCCTCTTCCCTCCCACCCGCCCTGAGCAAAGCCAGTGTGAGCAGAAATGCACTGGCTGACACCTGACATGTTTATTCCTGCCCAGGAGGCAGCACACACAAGCAGTTTTTCCCCAGGGCTCTCAAGTGGGAGGAACTTGTCCTGCAAGAAAAGACACACAGAAAGCCAGCAACAAAACTGAGACAGCCTTACCCCTTCCATTGCTTTCCTCCAAGGCAGAGTCAGGGAAACAAGCCCAGCCTCTCAGAGCTGGGTCCTGGGGCCAACAATCCGCTTTCCTCTGTCTCTGCTAGCCAGGGAGCAATCACTTCCCACAGGACACACCTGAGCCCAGGCTCCCCACCTGCCCCATCTGGGCCGAGGCTCCTCCCTTGCCTGGGGCTGGGCCAGGGCCGGCCGCCATCCTCCCAGCTTGGCTTAGACCAGCACCTGCAGGGGACTGGGGAGAGTACTCCACCTGCAGTCCTGCCAAGCCCACCTCTTCTCAGCAAGCGGCTCTTCCCGTTGCTCCCCTCCGGCTGGTCTGACAGTCACTCACTCTCCAGGGCATTTGTGCCCAGGCAGCAGGAGCTGTGAAGGAATGGGGATGGCAGGCTCCTGTTAGTACAGACCATGCAGGCTGGACAGTGTGATCCCCGTTAGTAACAACCTCTGCCAGCTCCGCCCCTGCAGACGGCTACTTAATTTCACAAACCCTTTCTCACGGTCAGGGAAACCAAAGCCCAGCAGGACAGCATGCCTAAGCCCACAGGGGGATTTAGTGGAGGCCAGAAAAGGAGTTAACATAAAGGAGCACCCTGTTTTTGGCCTGGTGTTTATTGAGGCATTTGGATTCCCATTTTAAAAGGTGAAGAATGGCCGGGTGCAGTGGCTCACACCTGCAATCCCAGCACTTTGGGAGGTCGAGGTGTGTGGATCACTTGAGGTCAGGAGTTTGAGACCAGCGTGGCCAACATGGTGAAACCCTGTCTCTACCAAAAATATAAAAAAAATTAGCCAGGTGTGGTAGTGGGTGCCTGTAATCCCAGCTACTTGGGAGGCTGAGGCAGGAGAATTGCTTGTACCTGGGAGGCAGACGTTGCAGTGAGCCGAGATCATGCCACTGCACTCCAGGGGGACAGAGTGAGACTCCGTCTCAAAAAAAAAAAAAAAAGTGAGGAAACTGAGTCTCAGAGAGATGGTAACACCTGCCCATGGTCACATAGGTAGTAACTAGAAGAGCCAGGGTTGGAACCCAGATCTGGCTGACTCTAAAGTGATTTTATTTTGCTGGGGTTATTTTTGTTTGTTTGTTTTTCTGACAGAGCTGGAGATGGAAACCCAAACCTCAGTTGCCAGTTTTGGGGCTTTCAGCTCTCCCGGGGTTGGGGATGGGCAGAGTGGGTGGCCTGCGCCCTGCTTTATGTGTAACCGGTGTGACTTTTCTTGCTTTGTCAAGTTCTTAGAAATCTTCTCCTGTCCTGACCAGGGAGAGGCGGGGTGGAGCACAGGTGAGGAGACCCCGCCTGAGGGCCATTTCCTCTAACAGGTGATTCCCAAACCTGGCTGATCACCAGAGCTGCCTGGGAATCTATCAAAAATACAGGATTCAAGTCCCAGACAAAACACTGCATCAATGCTTCTGGCCCAGGGACTGGCAGTTTGGGTTTTATAAAAGCCTTTGAGGTCTATGTATTTTAAACTTTATTAATGAATGACTCACAGTAAGATGTACCTTTTACATCCTTCCTCAACACACATACACATCAGCTAAAAGAAAAACTCCCCAAAGCAGTACTCACTCTTACCTTGTGTAATCGTGCTGATATTTTCCATTCTGTTCTGAGCCATGACATGCCATTGAATTAAATAAATGGTAGCACTTTCTTGACTTCATGACTCTCTGTTTGGCCAACACTGCTGTGTAGACTCTGCTCCCAGTCAGTTGGGGGGCCTATTTCTGAAGCTAAAGGGGACCCAGGCCAAAAGTCATCTGTAACTTTCCCTTAGCACTCTGGTTCATGCTCCTATGTGTATAAGTTTGTAAATAAAACAGTGGAGGAAGCTCTCGGGAGAACTTGGAGCCCTCCCCGCAGTCCCAACTGATAATTGGGCTGTCAAATTCCCTTTGCTCCTAGTGCAAGGGCTCCCCCTAGTGGCCTCAGGCCAGCCTACACTGGCAGAGTGGGTGGAGCAGGGCAGCAGGACTCTCATCTCCGCCTTCCTGGGAGGTCTGCGCATTTTGCTTTGGTTTCTGGCTAGTTACAGTGCTAGGTCCTAGGCACTAATCATTGGTAGCTGTTAGGGGTGGGTACTGTTTTGCCAGTCGGCTTAAGAGCTATGACTCTTGGAATGGCAGAGGATCCCTTGCTGTATGTCTTACGATCCTCTAGGTGCTAAACTCAGTTTCCCCACTAGCTGCTGGTCTTGGGAAAGTCAACTCTGAGATGTATGTTTCTCATCTGTAAAAGTAAACAAGAGTCTGGCAGCGTTGGCTTAAGGACAAATGGCCATGGGAAAATCTCCTGATAGGGTTGCTTAGCAATGAGTAAACACCAGTAATGTCAGTTCCTCTCTTTCTTTCCCCTCTCCTCCTCAATGGTTGGTGGCTGTGTCATTGTCAAAGTGCCCATGTAGCACTTGGATATACAAATGAAGTAGCATCATTTTATTTCCCTGTAATAATCCCAGTTTTCTCATGGGCCCCCATCCCATAAGTGGCAGATCCTTGTATTCATTTGCTATAAGGAGAACTCATACATGACTACATGGGAGGGTGAAGGCAGAAGAGGTGGGTACAAATTGCTGACATTGTGGGGAAAGTTTTGGATGGGAAATTTGAAGGTTGACCTAAGTTGCAACAGATATCACTACACCTTATGAATAAATATTTCAATTCAGTAAAGATGTATGAAATCCTGCTATATCCAAGGTGCTTTGGTGACCTCCTGCTAGCTTTAGGCCAGGGCAGATCTTACTGGCCTAAAGCCAGGAAGGTTCACTTAATCATGTATAAAGAAATGACTGACTGAGCACCTACTGCCTGCTGGGATCAGTGCCCCAGACCTTGCGAGCATCATTTTATTTAGTCCTTATTATGATCCTAATTTTCCAGCAGAGGAAACTGAGGCACATACAAGTTAAGTCTCCTCTTCAGGTAACACAACCAGTGGAAGATCAGAGACTTCAATCCAGGAAGGCTGACTTCAGAGACCATGCTCACAGGTGCTCTGTTTGCTTCTATTTAAATCGTAGAGAAATACAGAATCATAAACTCACAGCATTGGAGAGCTTGAAGGGTTCTTTGAAGCAGTTTTTTCCAAACTCAATTTTGAACGTAGTCTGTGAGAAAGCTTAGCAGATACTTAGGCTGAAGTTTGGCTCAAAATCTTCTAGATATTTCTAGTTGTTCAAGCCCCTAGTTCCAGTTTGCTCCTCTGCGTAGCAGGGATGACGTGCCATACTCTCCAAAAAGGGCCCATCCATTCTTCGGGGAACTGAGCAGCAGAAATCAGTATTTCCAGCACATTCTTAATGTTTCCAAACCTTACTTTCAATCTCAGATTCTGCTTGGAGCTCTGCAGTGTCTCCTATTATGTCTCAGTCTTTCCTCTCTCAGCAAACATATTACTTACACTTTGTATCATAAGCAATGGTGTGAAACAGAATACCCCGATGTAAAAAAAAAAAAAGGAGCATTTAAAACAGATCTGAAAATGGGAAATCACGTGTCCTCACCTCTTTCTAAGGTAAACTTTGAGCACTGTATGTTATATGATGACAAAGCCAGACTGTGTAGATTGATTGTCAGAGTTAGGCTGGTGCTGCTAGAGTAACCTATTATTAATATTATAATTCTTGTTGGTTAGATTAATCATTTCTGAGGATTTCCAGCACAACATGTAATTTATTTATGTATAATTTATATCCTGACTGCTTTCAAAAGGGAGAGAAGGAAAGATGAAAGAAGTGAAATTTATTGAGAGTCTATTGTGTAGCAGGCTACACAGTTGCATATATTTTCTTCTATTCCTCATGACAATGTTGTGAGATAAGAGATGCTATCTCTGGTTGATGAATGAAGAAAGTGAGGCTCAGAAAGGTTAGGCAGATGTCCTGGCCATGCGGAGAGTACAGTTCTGTTTCTCCATCTGAACTCTGCCCTGCCCTAATCCATTGCTCTTTCCTCCATTCCATGGCGGCTGCAAAAGGGGTTGAGGGAGTGGACCATTAAAAAAACAGGTAAAAAGGATGATATGAAATGAAGATAATAGCCATGTAGAAGACAGGGCAGGTGGGAAGCTAGGAAGGGATGGATAATCAGGACAGAAACATGGGACAATTCGTATAAGGTATACAATTATTTAAAGATAAAATATTTAAGGATAAAATGCCTAGAATTATCTTGGAGGTGTGTGGGTTCAAGAAAGGTCTTGCTTCCATTTTACCAGTTTTTGAAAAACATTTAATCCAGCTGATCTCTCCTTTGCCTTGAATGAAGCTCGCATCTCAATTTTGTGCTCATCTAAGTAAACATCTTAATAAGTGTGTAATAATATAGTAAGAGCTTTTTTGAAGGATGCTAAGCAAACATGACCAAGACAAGTTGCTTTTCTTTTAATTGTCTTTTAATAAGAATCTCAGCACCTGCTTTGAGCCAGGTGCTGTGCTTGGAGCTAGGGATGTAGCAACCCTTTTGGTTCTTGTAAAGAAATGGTCTTCCCCCACTAATGCCAGTTACATTATGTATGCATCACTCAGATGAATTATTAAGATGTTTTCTGATATGCTTGTCTTGTTGAGATCAAAGGAACGCCATTCCTCTGTGGGGAGAAGATGGGGCTTGCCTGGAAGTAAGAAATCTTTTCCAATGTCAATCACTCCCATGTTCCATCATCCAGAAAAGTGAGTCTTTAGACAGAAAACTCAAGCAGGGAACCCCCGTCTCTCTTTGGGTTTGTTTTTCTTGGGTCTGGACTTCAAGGCATAGACATACCACATGAAAGCCATGTTTAGAGGCTCAGAGTACTAGGATGTAGGAGTGGTAGGTCTCTCCACAAAATCCGCAGGTCAGTTGGTATCTTAGTCTGTTTGTGCTGCTACAGCAAAATACCTTAACTGTGTAATTTGTAAACAGCACAAATTTATTGCTCACAGTCGAGGAGTCTGGAGCAAGATGACTGCAGTTTTTGTGTCTCGTGAGGGCCACATATCTGGTGAGGGCCGGTCTCTGCTTCCAAGATGGCGCCTTGAACACTGCATCCTCCAGAGAACAGAAGGGCTCAAAAAGGCCCAGCTAGTTCTCTCTGGCTCTTTCATAAGGTATAAATCTCTTAAGGTTCAACATAAATTTTGGAGGAGACACAAACATTCAAACCATAGCAATTGGTATGTGACTTATGACTCATAATTTAGGTAGCTGATTTCACATATGTTGGAAAGTTCTATCAAAGTCTAAGAGTTTGAACTGTTTCTCCTTATGAGGAGTTGGGGAGGCATAGCTTCTCTCTCACACTCTTGCACACTCCCTTGCATGGACTTAAGGCAGGTATGTGCACATCCCAGTGTTTGCAAAGGCATGGCTCCTGCTCTCAGGAGTTGCTGTTTCCGACCCTTTGTCATCCTGAAAGCAGCCCTAGGGATCGTACCTCCTTTTCTGCTTTAATGTCTATTTTTCTTCCTCATGTAGCTACATTTACAGAGTGGCCAGCAGCCCAGGCTCACACTGCCAAGAGCTGGTGTGACAGCTTATAGGGAGGTGGGATGTGGCAGGCCCCACTACCATGGCCCCATGTGACAGATCTCAGTTGGCTAGTTCTGAATGAGGATGCTGGATGAAGACAAGCCATTTGGCCTTTGTTCATATTGCAAGGTAAGAGTCCTTTGTCATCAAAATGAAGGGCTCTTGGGAAAGGAGGTGGCCTGTGTCAATGAGATCCTGTTTCCCATTGTCTCCTAGAGCAGAAGATGCTACTCAAGCCACAGGGGAACAATCTGCATGCACATCAGCCAGGCGGAACTGAGCATGGAGGTCAGTGTATTCATTCAAAGGCATCTATTGCTGTGGCAGTTAATCACCTATATAAACATTTGTAGAATTGAATGACCTCATTTGATGCTCACAGCCAGCTAATAAAGAAGGCAGGGCACATAATGAGTCTCCATTTTACAAATGACAGAATAGCAGCTCAGAGAAAGGATTTCATCAGGGCAGGATTTGGGGAGTGTGGCATGTGGAAGAGGAGGAGGGAGTTGGGAGGTCTAGAGAAGAGTGCTATAAACAAGCAACAGAACCTGGAAGCTCCACGCTTGATGTGGTCACCCTGCTCACCTGCTCCCTTCCTTTCTCTTGGCTTCCACCTGCATCCTGCCCATGCCCACATCCATGTCTCTTCATCCATTCAGGAAATGCTTACCTAATTTCCACTATGGTCTAGGTTAGGCCAAGATACACAGCGGGGAACAAAATTCACACTATTCTCACCCTACGGAACCTGTAGTCTAGTTAGGGTGTAAGGCACTAAACAAACAGCTGAATCATATGAGTACTCATACCCTCAAGTGCCATGAAAAAAATAGGGAATACAATAACAAGCGCCCCCACTTTGTCAAAGACAGTCATGAAGTCCGGTCATTCCTGAATGTACTTACTCATTCATCCAACACATGTTTATTGAACACCTACTCAGTGTGTTGGGCTAGGCTTTGTTCTATGGATTGAGGACTCACAGTGACCCACAAAACCAACTACCTGCTGCATTTCTCCCTTGGGTGTTTCATAGATACCTCAAACTAAACAAGACCATAATTTAATCAATGATCTGACCCCCAAACCTGCTCCAAGCAGCATCAAGCTCATCCTCTTTCCTGAGCAGAAAACCTGGACTTTCCTGACTCCCATTGATCCTTCACCTCTCAAGTGCAGTGGACTACGCCTCACTCAACAGCGTTCAGTGAGCATGCCTGCTAGGCACGCATTCCCACAGTGGGTGCCCGATGGTCACTGGCACAAAGTAGGCATAATCTTTGCATCAAGGGAATGAGAGTCTAGCTTCACCTCAGGAGATGACTAGACCTCAGAAACATCCCTTCAATCAATGTGGTTCCCTCATTCCCCTCTATGGGGGGTTGTAGGTTTAGTCCTGGGAGGGGTACCCCCTGCCTTCAATCCCCCACCTCACACCAAATGAGTCTTCTTAGTTTTACCTGATTGATCTTCCCAAGACAAATCTGACCATGACACTCCACCATGGAAAACATCCTCTAACTCTCTAATGCCTACAGGGGCAAGTCCAAATCCTTCCCAGGACATACAAGACTCTTTAGAATCAGCCCCTTGGTGCTTCTCCAGCCTTGGCTCCCATCACTGGGCTCCCTATACTTGCTAGACTGAATTTCTTCATTTCTGAGCTCTCCATGCTGCATCTGGCCTCTGGATGTTGGCCTATCCCATTTTCTCTACCTGGAATGCTGTCCCTTGCATACCTGTTACCC